>NT_167246.2:2805333-2915476 GCF_000001405.40 Homo sapiens | reverse complement strand
GCCAAGAACACCACTTCTTACACCAATCATGTGGAGACTTCTCCCACACCAATCAATTCTTCAGTTCTTGGTAGATATTAACTGGGAGTCCTGCAGTTTAATTCAGTTCTGACACTCTACCCATAATTACCAGTTATCTAATCCCCAAGTTGAAGGGCTCAGTTCTAC
This sequence comes from Homo sapiens, assembly GCF_000001405.40. Classification (NCBI taxonomy): domain Eukaryota; kingdom Metazoa; phylum Chordata; class Mammalia; order Primates; family Hominidae; genus Homo; species Homo sapiens. Next base: position 2,915,308 of record NT_167246.2, on the reverse strand, counting down.
AAGGCTGCCCCCACTCCAGATACCAATCACAAACAAGTCCAGGCCTCCTAACTGTTTTTATGACTCCCTCTTCTGGCTCAGTAATTCGCTGGAATAGCACGCAGAACTCAGGTAAACACTTTACTTATGTTAGCTAGTTTATTATGAAGGATAAAACTTAGGAACAGTCAGATGGAAGAGTTGCTCCGGACAAAGTATCGGGGAAGGGGGATTTGGAGCTTTCTTGTCCTCTCTGGGCACCTCCCTGCACCTCCATGTGTTCATCAACCTGGCAGCTCTCCAACCCTCATCTTTTTTGTTTTTTTTTATGGAGGCTTCATTATGCAGGCATACTTGATTCAATAGCCATTAGTTGGAGGTCAGAGGGTTGGAGCTAAAAGTTCTAACTCTCTAATCACACAGTTGCCTACCTTGGCAACAAACCCCAACCTTAGGGGCTTTCTAAAAGTCAACTTACTAACATAAACTCAGTTGTGGTTGAAAAGAGCTTGTTATGAATAACAAAAGCTCCCTTCACTTTATCATTTAGGAAATTACAAGGGCTTTAGGAGGTCTGGCCAGGAGCCAGGATGGAGACCAAAACACACACACACACACACACACACACGCACGCACACACACATTAATATTTTGAGACAGGGAGACAGGGTCTCGTTCTGTTATCCAGGCTGGAGTGCAGTGGCACAAACATGGCTACTGCAGCTTTGACCTCCCAGGCTCAAGCGATCCTCCCTTGTCAGCCTCCTGAGTAACTGGGACTACAGGCATGTGCCACCACACCTGGCTAATTTTTAAAATTTTTTTTAGAGACAGGGTCTCCTTGTGTTGCCCAGGCTGGTCTTGACTGCCTGGGCTCAAGTAATCCTCCCACCTTGGCCTCCCAAAGTGCTGGGATTACAGGCCTGAGCCACCGTGCCTGACCTTTTTTTTTTTTTTATTTTTATTTTTTTGAGACAGTTTCTTGTTCTGTCATCCAGGTTGGAGTGCAGTGGCACCATCATAGCTCACTGCAGCCTCAACTTCTTGGGCTCAAGCAATCCTTCCATCTCAGCCTCCCAAGCAGCTGGGACCCGCACCACCATGCCTGGCTCATTTTAAAATTTTTTGTAGAGATGAAGTCTCGCCAGGTTGCCCAGGCTGGTCTTGAACTCCTGGGCTCAAGTGATCCTCTGGTCTCAGCCTTCTAGAGTGCTGGGATTACATGTGTTAACCACCACACCCAACCCATATATATACATATTTATTTATTTTTTCCCCGAGATGGAGTCTTGCTCTGTTGCCCAGGTTAGAGTGCAGTGGCGCGATCTCCGCTCACTGCAAGCTCCACCTCCCAGGTTCACGCCATTCTCCTGCCTCAGCCTCCTGAGTAGCTGGGACTACAGGCGCCTGCCACCACGCCCGGCTAATTTTTTGTGTTTTTAGTAGAGACGGGGTTTCACCATGTTAGCCAGGATGGTCTCGATCTCCTGACCTTGTGATCTGACCGCCTTGGCCTCCCAAAGTGTTGGGATTACAGGTATGAGCCACCGCGCCTGGCCTTTTTTTTTGTGGGGGGATGGAGTCTCGCTCTGTCGCCCAGGCTGGAGTGCAGTGGCGATCTCGGCTCACTGCAAGCTCCGCCTCCTGGTTTCACGCCATTCTCCTGCCTCAGCCTCCCGAGTAGCTGGGACTACAGGTGCCTGCCCCCACACCCGGCTAATTTTTTTTTGTATTTTTAGTAGAGACGAGGTTTCACCATGTTAGCCAGGATGGTCTTGATCTCCTGACCTCGTGATCTGCCCCCCTCGGCCTCCCAAAGTGCTGGGATTACAGGTGTGAGCCACCACACCCGGGCCCAAAAATATATATTTTTATTATAACAATATCACAATGGGAGAAGAACATTTCAGGTGGAGGGAACAGCAAGTTCAAAGGCCCTGATGTGAGAGCAGTGTGGATATCTGGAGTGTTCATGGAGTAGCAGGGAGGCCTGTGCTGCTGAAGCCAGGTGAGGAGGAGGTCAGCTTGGGTAGGGCCTTGTAAAGACTCTGGCTTTTATTCTGAGTGAGACTGCCTCCCAGACTGGTCTTTCCATTGAGAATGGCTTGACAGACTACTGGGGTGAGACAGTGCTTAGATGCTCAGAAAAACTGCCTGGGATAGAGAGAATGACAGCTGCTCTGACTGTGGGACAAAAATGAAGACTAGGCCTGGCGCGGTGGCTCACTCCTGTAATCCCAGCACTTTGGGAGGCCGAGGCAGGCAGATCACCTGAGGTCAGGAGTTTGAGATCAGCCCGACAAACATGGAGAAACCCCGTTTCTACTAAATGTACAAAATTAGCCAGGCATGGTGGCGCATGCCTGTAATCCCAGCTACTTGGGTGGCTGAGGCAGGAGAATCGCTTGAACCTGGGAGGTGGAGATTGCAGTGAGCCGAGATCACGCCATTGCACTCCAGCCTGGGCAATAAGCGAAACTCCATCCCCCCCACCAAAAAAAGTGAATACTGAAGGGTATATAGGAAGACAAGCGGGTGGAGAAGGAAACTCAGGGCCTTCTGAGAAGGAAACAGAGATGAGGGGAAAAGAATAGACATGCAAGAAGATGCTGGGGCTCAGAAAGTGATACCCCAAAGACTGGTGCTTTGAAATGCTGAGAGGCCTTAGAAGCTGCCTTAGAATTGTCCTACCACACTTTCTGGAATTTCCTTATCTGACTGAAAAAACTTCTTTGCAAAAGAAGTGCAATTGTCTTAAGACCTCCTGCCTAGAGATCTTATCAAATGACCAGATCAACCACCAGAGAGAAGATATTAGGAGTCATCATCATACCCAGATAGACTTTTCTTCTCTTTCTTTTCTTCCTTTTGAGTCAGCGTCTTGTTCTGTTGCCCAGCCTGGAGTGCAGTGGCATGGTCATGGCTCACTGCAGCCTCAACCTCCAGGCTCAAGTGATCCTCCCACCCTAGCCTCCTGAGTAGCTGGGACAACAGGCATGTGCCACCACGCCTTAGGTTTTTTTTTTTTTTTTTTTTTGAGATGGAGTCTCTCTCTGTCACCCAGGCTGGAGTGCAGTGACATGATCTCAGCTCACTGCAACCTCCTCCTCCTGGGTTCAAGCAATTCTCCTGCCTCAGCCTCCGGAGTAGCTGGGGTTACAGGTGCCCGCCACCACGCCCAGCTAAGTTTTGTATTTTGTAGGAGAGAAGGAGTTTCATCATGTTGGCTCTGGCTGATCTCGAACTCCTGACCTCAGGTGATCCACCTGCCTTGCCCTCCTAAAGTGCTGGGATTACAGACATGAGCCACTGCACCCAGCCATGGTGACTAATTATCTTTTTTTTTTTTTTTTGAGACAGAGTCTCACACTGTCGCCCGGGCTGGTGTGCAGTAGCGCGATCTCGGCTCACTGCAACCTCCACCTTCCGGATTCAAGTGATACCCCTGCCTCAGCCTCCCAAGTAGCTAGGATTGCAGGCACCCGCCACCACGTCCAGCAATTTTTTTTTTTTTTTGAGACGGAGTCTCGCTCTGTCGCCCAGGCTGGTGTGCAGTGACAGGATCTCAGCTTACTGCAAGCTCCACTTCCTGGGTTCATGCCATTATTTTTTTGTATTTTTAGTAGAGATGGGGTTTCACTATGTTGCCCAGGCTGGTCTCAAACTCTTGACCTCGTGATCTGCCCACCTTGGCCTCCCAAAGTGCTGGGATTACAGGCGTGAGCCACAGTGCTGGTCTTTTTTTTTTTTTTTTTTTTTTTTTTTTTAGATAGAGTCTTGCTTTGTCACCCAGGCTGGAGTGCAGTGGCATGATCTTGGCTCACTGCAACCTCTGCCTCATGGGTTCAAGAGATTCTCCCGCCTCAGCCTCCTGAGTAGCTGGGACTACAGATGCGCGCCACCAAGCCCAGCTAATTTTTTTGTATGTTTAGTAGAGACAGGGTTTTGCCATGTTGGCCAGGATGGTCTGGATTTCTTGACCTCGTGATCCGCCCTCCTCAGCCTCCCAAAGTGTCAGGATTACAGGCGTAAGTCACCGTGCCTGGCTTCTTTTTTTTTTTTTTTTTAAATATAGAGACAATGGATCATAATATAGAGACATTCTCATCCTAATGTTAGCACAACGGGGATGCAGATGGTCAGGATCTGGAGACTTGCAGGAATAGAGCAGTGAGCCAAAGTGCAGCCTGGTTTATGCTTAATTATAACTATATTTCTGCCCAGATCCCAGCATGCAATTCTTGTCAATCTTGGGACAGTTTCAATTTACTCTATTGAAAGTTTTTATTAATATTTTGATAACTGGAATTTGATTTCGATGCAATTTTTTTTTTTTGAGACGGAGTCTTGCTCTGTCACCCAGACTGGAGTGCAATGGCGTGATCTCGGCTCACTGCAACCTCCGCCTCCCGGTTCCAGCAATTCTCCTGCCTCAGCCTCCCAGGTAGTTAAGATTACAGGCGCCGACCACCATGCCTAGCTAATTTTTTGTTTTTAGTAGAGACAGGGTTTTGTCATGTTGGCCAGGCTGCTCTCGAACTCCTGACCTCGGGTGATCCACCTGCCTCGGCCTCCCAAAGTGTTGGGATTACAGGCGTGAGCCACTGCGCCTGGCCGATTTGTTTTTGTATGTATATTTTTTAAATTTTATGCTTTACTAGAATGCCAAAGGGATCTGTGGCACAAAATAACTAAGAACCACTGCTGTAACCTCTCTCTCCCCTCACCCCTTTGAGCCTGGGAGTGGAAATATCCCCTGCAGTTCTCTTACATAACACTCCCACCTTTGTGTGTGCGTGTGTTTTGTTTGTTTTGTTTTGTTTTTGGGATGGAGTCTCGCTCTGTCACCCAGGCTGGAGTGCAGTGAAGTGATGTCAGCTCAGTGCAACCTCCACCTCCCAGGTTCAAGCGATTCTCCTGCCTCAGCCTCCCTAGTAGCTGGGACTACAGATGCATGCCACCACGCCTGGCTAATTTTTTGTATTTTCAGTAGAGATGGGGCTTCACCGTGTTAGCCAGGATAGCCTTGACCTCCTGACCTCGTGATCCACCCTCCTCAGCCTCCCAAAGTGCTGCGATTACAGGCATGAGCCACCGCGCCCGTTGTCTTTAATAATTTTTTTGCCTGCTTAATATATAGTTTCTGAGAGATGTGAGTCTTCCTCTAATATTGTAGGTTACTTTTCTGTCGCTGCTGCACAAATTTTTTTTTTTTTTGAGATGGAGTCTCACTCTGTCGCCCAGACTGGAGTGCAGTGGCGTGATTTTGGCCCACTGCAACCTCTGCCTCCTGGGTTCAAGCGATTCTTCTCTTGAGTAGCTGGGATTACAGGTGCATGCTACCACGCCTGGCTACTTTTTGTATTTTTAGTAGAGACGGAGTTTCACCATATTGGTCAGGCTGGTCTCGAACTCCTGACCTCGTGATCCACCCTCCTCGGCCTCCCAAAGTGTTGGGATTACAAGCGGTAGCCACTGTGCCTGGCCTAAACTTTTTTTTTTAAGCATCCTTGTGCAGAGACTCCAAGGGCAAACAAGAGTAGTGCCAACCAGCCTGGCAGAGCTGAGGCAGGCCTGAACTCTGGCCCCTAGAGGGAAGAGGTGACTAGTCACTAGCCTTCCTTCATTCTCTCACCCAGAGAGAAATGGGGAAGGAAGAGAAATGGAGTAAAAGAATAAGGTATGTAGATGGGGAGAGATGGGAAGGGAAAACATGGAGAATGATGGGGAGGCAGAAAGCGATGCGAAGAGAGATGGAGGAAGACAGAGAGAGAGAAAGACGGAGAGGCAGACCAGACACGGCAGCTCACACCTGTAATCCCAGCACTTTGGGAGGCTGAGGCAGGTGGATCACTTGAGGCCAGGAGTTCAAGACCAGCCTGGCCAACATGGCAAAACCCCATCTCTACTAAAAATACAAAAATTAGCCAGGGGTGGTGGCATGTGCCTGTAATCCCAGCTACTCTGGAGGCTGGGGCAGGAGAATCATTTGAACCTGGGAGGTGGAGGTTACAGTGAGCTGAGAGCGCAAAAAAAAAAAAGAAAAAAAATAGAATGTCTCACGTGGAAGGTGCTCGCTGAATATTTGTTGAATGAGTGAATAAGCAGAAGTGTGTATGCATGTGACAGAGAGGCAGAGGGGTAGGGGTGTGTAGAGATGTGGCGTTTGAGTGGACACGGGGGAAGAAACAAGTAATATGAATAACATGGTGAGACAGAAAGAGTTGTGGACAGAGCTGTGGGAAATATGAGAGATAAGGAGAGAGATACTGAAAAGAGCGATTAAGAGAGATGAAGATAGGGTGTCTGGCCCATGGAAGGCCCTCGTGAAGAGCAATGCTGAATAGATGAATGAACCTCAATGCCCAGCAGTGGTGGGATGAAGGGGATGCTGTGCAGAAACCACACTACCCATCAGAGAAGCAACTCTGCTCGTTTCCCCTTGAGTTGATGAGGGATTTAGCAACCAGTGGAATGAAGAGCAAGGGAAAGACACCTGCGATCTTTCAGAAGCAAAATGGACAGGGCCTGGAGATCTTTTGGATGGGGGAACTGAGGGAGAAGGCAGAGTAGGATGAATCCCAGGTGTTTGCCTTAAGTGACTGGGGCTTTGTGTTTCCATTCACTGGGACAGGGATGACAGGAGGCTGACCTGGTCTGAGTGGACACTGATGACTTTGAAATGCCTGTGGAGTATTCAGGGTAAGCCGCCTAGAGAGCAGTTAGATAGTGTGGACTTAGGTCTCAAGAAAGAGGCCTGAGGGGGAGATGTAGATTGGGGACTTGACAGAGAATAAGCAGTAGTGACAACTGTGGCTATGACAGGATTGCCTAGGAAAGCCATGGTAGATGCGCAAAATTTATTGAATGAAAGTGGGAAGCCAGGTGCATGCCTATAATCCCAGCTACGTGAAAGGCTGAGGTCGGAGGAACACCTAAAGCCCGGAGTCAGGACTTTGAGACTAGCCTGGGCAACATAGTGAGATCTCATCTCAAAAATATATATAATAAAAAATATATAATAACACTTTTTAAAAAGAAAGTGGGGCCAGGGGTGCTAGCTCATGCCTATAATCCCAGCACTTTGGGAGGCCGAGGCAGGCGGATCACTTGAGGTCAGGAGTTCGAGACCAGCCTGACCGACATGGTGAAACCCCATCTCTACCAAAAATACAAAATTAGCTGGGTGTGGTGGCACATGCCTGTAATCCCAGCTACTTGGGAGGCTAAGGCAGAAGAATCACTTGAACGCAGGAGGCGGAGGTTGCAGTGAGCCGAGATCGCACCATTGCACTCCAGCCTGGGCAACAAGAGCAAAATTCTGTCTCAAAAAAAAAAAAAAAAAAAAGTGGGAGAAACAACCCAAAAATTTTCCAACAGGACAGTGGTATAAAAGCACACGTTTAGGGTACAGGAGTCTGGGGGACTCAGGTTGGATGGCTTTTATGTCCTTGGGAAAGAGGAGGTGAGATTTCAAAGTGAAACAGCTTCCATGGTGACAGGATCTGAGATGTAGGTCATGGAGAGTCAAGGTGATGATTGGAGTGGACAAGGTGAAATAACTGTGAAGTTGCACACTTAGGGTATTGAAAAGGCATTTGCGAGATGGGTACAAGAAGTTTCATAGCAGATTGAGCCATAATAAGAAAAACAAAAAATAGAAACAACCCAATTGTACTTCATCAGGTGAATAGATCAACAAGCTGTGCTACATCATATAAAGGATTACCACTCAGCAAAAAAAAGGAATGAAACACTGATACATACAACAGCGTGGGCGAATCTCACAGACATTAAGCAGAATGAAAGGAGCCAGATACAAGAGTATGTACTATATGACTCCATTAATATGATGTTCAAGAACAGACTAATCTATAGAGGCCGAGCGCAGTGGCTCAGGCCTGTAATCCCAACACTTAGAGAGGTCAAGGCAGGAGGATCACTTGAGCCCAGGAGTTAGAATCCAGTCTGGGCAACATAGAAGGACCTCGTCTCTACAAAAAAAAATTTTTTTTTTTTTTTTGAGACAGAGTCTTGCTCTGTCACCCGGGCTGGAGTGCAATGACGCGATCTCGGCTCACTGCAACCTCTGCCTCCCAGGTTCAAGCAATTCTCCTGCCTCAGCCTCCCGAGTAGCTGGGACTATAGGCATGTGCCACCACGCCCGGCTGATTTTTTTTTTTTTTTTTGTATTTTTAGTAGAGATGGGGTTTCACTGTGTTAGCCAGCATGGTCTTGAGCTCCTGACCTTGTGATCCCCCTGCCTCGGCCTCCCAAAGTGCTAGGATTATAGGCCTAAACCACTGCACCCAGCCTACAAAAAAACTGTTAAAAAATTAGCTGGGTGCGGTGGCATATGCCTGTAGTCGTAGCTACTCAGGAGACTGAGGTGGGAGGATGGCTTGAGCCCAGGAGGTCAAGGCAGCAGTGAACTATAATTGCACTACTGCATTCCAACCTGGGTAACAGAGCAAGACTCTGTCCCAAGAAAAAAGTCTACAGAGGTTAAAAATGGTAAAATGGTTGCATCTAGGAGGGGAAAGGGATTTACCAAAAAGGGGCATGGAGGAATTTTCCAGGATAATGAGAATTATCTATATCTCTATTACAGTGTGGTTGCATGGGTGTACATATTGGCCAAAGGTCATCAAACTGTACATTAAGATCTGTGCATTTTACTGTATGAAATTATATATCAATGTTTAAAAATGTCATTTATGGCTGGGCACGGTGGCTCACGCCTGTAATCCCAGCACTTTGGGAGGCCGAGGCAGGTGGATCACGAGGTCAGGAGATTGAGACCATCCTGGCTAACATGGTGAAACCCTGTCTCTACTAAAAAATACAAAAAAATTAGCCAGGTATGGTGGCTGGTGCCTGTAGTCCCAGCTACTAGGGAGGCTGAGGCAGGAGAATGGCGTGAACCCAGGAGGTGGAGCTTGCAGGGAGCCGAGATCACGCCACTGCACTCCAGCCTGGGTGACAGAGCAAGACTCTCTCTCAAAAAAAAAAAAAAAAAAAGTCATTCATATGGACATTAAGTCCATTAAGGAGTTGGCAGAGGTTGAAATAGAGAGGAAGTGGGCTGGGCATGGTGGCTCACGCCTATAATCCCAGCACTTTGGGAGGCCGAGGTGGGCGGATCACAAGGTCTGGAGTTCGAGACCAGCCTGGCTAACATGGTGAAACCTTTTCTCTACTAAAAATACAAAAATTAGCCTGGCATGGTGGCAGGTGCCTGTAATCCCAGCTACTCTGGAGGCTGGGGCAGGAGAATCGCTTGAACCTGGGAGGCAGAGGTTGCGGTGAACCAAGATCACGCCATTGCACTCCAGCAACAACAGCAAAACTCTGTCTCAAAAAAAAAAAAAAAGAAAAAAGAAAAAAGAAAGAAAAAATAAATAGAGAAGAGGCTGCAGAGTCAGGGATGGGCTCTTGATGAATGTGAGGGCGAGTGGACGACACCAAGGAGAGATTGAAGGTCGTGAGGTCAGATGCTATGAGCCTCAGAGGAGAAGCTGTTCTCAGAAGCTGAAAGTATCATCACCTGGGAGCCATTCATTAGTTGAAAAATATTGATAAGACTTGGCCAGAGAAGTCACCCAATCTCACCCCTGCCAGCACGTAGAGGAACCCTGGTGGGGGTGGGGGAAAGATGAGATCACCTGTGCTGGATTGTGGACTTTTGTGTTTTCACCTGTTTTCATGGTCTGAGTTGGGAGTTTATTGGCCTCAACTACATCCAGCCAGCCCACAGCTTGTTGTTAAAGAAGTCAGACCAGAGACTGGGTGCGGCGGCTCACGCCTGTAATCCTAGCACTTTGGGAGGCTGAAGCAGGTGGATCACTTGAGGTCAGGAGTTCAAAACCAGCCTGGCCAACATGGTGAAACCCTGTCTCTAGTAAAAATACAAAAAAGTTAGCCAGGCATGGTGACAGGCGCTGTAGTCCCAGCTACTTGGGAGGCTGAGGCAGGAGAATCGCTTGAACCCGGGAGGCAGAGGTTGCAGTGAGCGGAAATCACACCACTGCACTCCAGCCTGGGCGACAGAGCGAGACTCCCTCTCAAAAAAAAAAAAACAAAAAAAACACACACAAAAACAGAGACCAGTGCACATCCACTTCAACACTGTTTTATTTGTTGCCTTTCCTCTTGAGTGCCTGGGAATAATTTCTTTAGAAAAGTTCCATCCTTGGCCAGGATGGATGCAGTGGCTCACGCCTGTAATCCCAGCACTTTGGGAGGCCGACGTGGGTGGATCACGAGGTCAGGAGTTCAAGACCAGCCTGGCCAAGATAGTGAAACCCCGTCTCTACTAAAAATATGAAAATTAGCTGGGCATGGTAGTGGGTGCCTGTAATCCTGGCTACTCAGGAGGCTGAGGCAGGAGAATCTCTTGAACCCGGGAGGCGGAGGTTGCAGTGAGCCGAGATCGCACCACTGCACTCTAGCCTGGGTAACAGAACAAGACTCTGTCTCAAGAAAAAAAAAAGAAAAAAAAAGTTCCATTCTTGTGCCCACTGTGCTGATTAGCGCAGCAGTTCCTGTCTTGCAGGTTAGCCTTCCCTAGAGGTTCTCAGAGTTATTAAAAGGGGTCCCTTGAATGTACACACATATCAGGATTTATTCTAGATGGACTGAAAAAAAAACCCCACATACTGTCTTTGGAATCTGGAACATTTTTAGCTATGACAAATGTTTAGAAGTCTTAGATATAGAAAAGAGCTGGGAGAGCAGGATGCCCTTGAGTCCAGGTGTAGCAATGGCACTGCCACCCTTGCACAGGACGGGGGAAGCACTGGAGAAGAACCACACATTGAACACCTAGGGCAATGGGGTCTGGAAGTTTACAGGTGGTACCCCCAGTTTACAGTAGTGGCACCAGGACTCCAACCTAGGCTGATTTGTCTTCTAAGCCACATTGCCTTGGGACGTGGAGTAGAACCATGTGATTGAGTGTACACTGTGGAAGAGTGGAGTTTGTTTTTTTTTTTTTTTGAGACGGAGTTTTGCTCGTTGCCCAGGCTGGAGTGCAGTGGCACAATGTTGGCTCACTGCAACCTCCGCCTCCTGGATTCAAGTGATTCTCGTGCCTCAGCCACCCAAGTAGCTGGGATTACAGGCACGCACCACCACGTCTGGCTAAGTTTTGTATTTTTAGTAGAGATGGGGATTCACCATGTTGGCCAGACTGGTCTCGAACTCCCGACCTCAGGTGATCTGCCCACCTCGGCCACCCAAAGTGCTGGGATTACAGGCGTGGGCCACTGCTCCCGGCCGGAAGAGTGGAGTTTTATCCCCAGCCAGTTACTTATTCCACGTCCCCACTGGTGGTGACCTCTTCTCCCTCCCCAAACCGTGGGCTTCTTACAGCTGAGATAGTAGAGACAATTTTTCCTATATTGATCCTTTGGGGTGTGAATGGGGTGTTGATAGAAGGAGGCAAGCAAGGTAGGGGATCGGGCAGAAGCTGGAATCAAGGCCCAGTTGAGAAAAGCCACCATTGGTAGCTCGGGCCTCCCATGCTCTCTGACCACCAGGGGGCAGGCCTTGCCTTGCCATGACGCCTCCATCCCACATCCTCTAGTTAGATATCCCTGGGGTGGCAGCCACTTCGCTGCTGGAGAATGGCTGAGTTGGTCCTTCCCAGGTTGTGTGGCATGTGTGGTTGTTCCGGTAGCTTAGGGAGGTAAAATAATTTGTTCAAGATTAGACTGGGCACAGTGGCTCACACCTGTAATCCCAGCACTTTGGGAGGCCGAAGTGGGAGGATTGCTTTAGGCCAGGAGTTTTAGATCAGCCTGGGCAACACGGTGAGACTCTGTCTGTACAAAAAATAAAAATAAGTGAGCCAAACGTGATGATGTGTGTCTGTAGTCCCAAATACTCTGGAGGCTGACGTGGGAGGGTCACTTGAGCTCAGGAGTTCAAAGTTCAAGGCCACGGGGAGCTATGATCATATGATCACACCGCTGCACTCCAGAATGGTTGACAGAGTGAGACCCTGTCTCAAAAAAAAAAAGGTTGTATAACATAATTGTGGGGATTGCGGGGGAGCTGACATTTGAACCTAGACTCATTCCAAACCAGCATTCTTAACCATGAGATGACTGCTTCTCCAAAAGAAAGCTCTGAATTACTTCAGTGATGGGTGGGAACTGGACAGTCTACAAAAGTACTGTGACACAGAGCTAGAAACACAGATACAAAGGAAAAAACATATATTAGGTCAGGTGTGGTGGCTCACACCTGTAATCCCAGCACTTTGGGAGGCCAAGGCGGGTGGATCACTTAAGGCCAGGTGTTTAAGACCAGCCTGGCCAACATGGCAAAACTCCGTCAGTACTAAAAACACAAAAATTAGCCGAGTGTGGTGGCACACGCCTGTGAACCCAGATACTCGGGAGGCTGAGGCACGTGAATCGCTTGAGCCTGGGAAGCAGAGGTTGCAATGAGCCAAGATTGTGCCACTGCACTCCAGCCTGGGCGACTGAACGAGACTGTCTCACAACAACAACAGCAACAACAACAACATGTATTCATATAAAATGAGCCAGGCTGGGCGCGGTGGCTCACGCCTGTAATCCCAGCACTTTGGGAGGCCAAGGCGGGCGGATCACAAGGTCAGGAGTTTGAGACCAGCCTGGCCAACATGGTGAAACTCAGTCTCTACTAAAAATACAAAAATTAGCTGGGTGTGGTGGCGCACGTCTGTACTCCCAGCTACTCGGGAGGCGGAGGCAGGAGAATCGCTTGAACCCGGGAGGCAGAGGTTGCAGTGAGCTGAGATTGAGCCATTGCACTCCAGCCTGGGCAACAAGAACAAGACTCCATCTCAAAATAAATAAATAAATAAAATAAATAAAAGGAGCCAGACCAGGAGTTTGAGACCTGGACAACATAGCAAGATGCTGTCTTTCAAAAATAAATAAAAGTAAAAAGTCAGGTGTGATGGCACATACCAGTATTCCAAGCTACTTGGGAGGCTGAGGCAGGAGGATTGCTTGAGTCCAGGAGATCGAGGCTGCAGTGAGCAATGATCACACCACTGTATTCCTGCTTGAGTGATAGAGTGAGACCCTTGTCTCTAAAAAATGTAATAGTAAAAGGAGCCAGAAGGGGGCATGCGGTAAGGGGTGGACACATGGCATATTACATGTCATCCTTCACTTCTATGTGCTGTATTATCTCCTGTAGCTGTGTGATACACATACAAGAGTGTCTGGCATACTCTTGTACCAATCCCTGTAGAGGTATTACCTTGTTTTATTGTGTTCCACAGATGTGCATTTTTTTATATATTGAAGTTTGTGGCAACCCTGTGTTGAGCAAGTCTGTAGGTGCCACTTTTCCAATAGCCTGTGCTCACTTTGTGTCTCAGTGGCACATTTTGGTAATTCTTGCAATATTTCAAACTTTTTCTTGATTATTTTATCTGTTATGATCTGTCAGTAGTGATTTTTTTTTTTTGAGACAGGGTCTCACCCTGTCATTCAGGCTGGAGTGCAGTGGCAAGATCATAGCTCACTGCAGCCTCGAAATCCTGGGCTCAAGTGATTCTCCTGCTTCAGCCTCCCAAGTAGCTAAGACTACTGGAACACACCAGCACACCTGGCTAATTTTATCTATTTATTTATTTAGGCAGAGTTTTGTTCTTGTTGCCCAAGCTGGAGTACAATGGCACGATCCCAGTTCACCACTACCTCCGTCTCCCAGTGATTCTCCTGCCTCCGCCTCCCGAGTAGCTGGGATTACCGGCATGCGCCACCACGCCCGACTAATTTTGTATTTTTAGTAGAGACGGGGTTTCTCCATGTTGGTCAGGTTGGTCTTGAACTAACGACCTCAAGTGATCTGCCCTCCTTGGCCTCCCAAAGTGCTGGGATGACAGGAGTCAGCCACTGTGCCTGGACTTTTTTTTTCTTTTTTGTAGAGCTGAGGTTGGCCAAGCGCAGTGGCTCATGCTTGTAATCCCAGTACTTTGAGAGGTCGAGTGGGCAAATCACTTGAGCCCAGGAGTTTGAGACCAGCCTGGACAACATGGTAAGACCCTGTCTCTACAAAAAATACAAAAATTATCTAGGCATGGTGGTGTGTGGCAGCTACTCAGGAGGCTGAGGTGGGAAGATGGTGTGAGCCCATGAGGTTGAAGCTGCAGTGAGCCGTGATTGTGCCACTGCACTCTAGCCTAGGCAACAGAGTGAGACCTTGTCTCAAAAAGAGAGAGAGAGAGAGAAGGTCTTGCTCTGTTGCCCAGGCTGGAGTGCCATGGAGCCATGGCTTTCACAAGCAAAATCGTAGCATACTGCAGTCTTGAACTTCTGTCCTCAAGTGATCCTTCCACCTCAGCCTTCTGAGTAGCAGAGACATAGGCACATACCACTGCACTTGGCAAGAATTAGCTAAATTTACTCTGCCACGCTGTGTAAATGGAACAATAAAGCCTAGATGGCTGGATGTGGTGGCTCATGCCTATAATCCCAGCACTTTGGGAAGCTGAGGTGGGCGGATCACCTGAGGTCAGGAGTTCAAGACCAGCCTGGCCAAGATGGTCAAACCCTGTCTCTACTAAAAATACAAAAATTAGCCGGGTGTGGTGGCAGTCACCTGTAATCCCAGATACTAGGGAGGCTGAGGCAGGAAAATCACTTGAACCCAGAGGGCGGAGGTTGCAGTGAGCTAAAATTGCACCACTGCACTCCAGCCTGGGTGACAGAGCAAGACTCCATCTCAAAAAAATATATAAATAAATAAATAAATAAATAAAAGCCTAGATGATAGTACATCTGTTTACAACGTGGTTTACTGATTTTAAAATTTTTCTTTTTTTTGTTTGTTTGTTTGTTTTTGAGACACGGTCTCAATATGTTGCCCAGGCTGTAGTACAGCAGCATGATCTCAACTCATTGAAACCTCTGCCTTCCAGAGTCAAATGATCCTCCTACCTCAGCCTCCTGAGTAGTTGGGACCACAGACATGAGCCACTATGCTCAGCTAATTTTTGTATTTTTTGTAGAGATAGGGTTTCGTCAGGTTGTCCAGGCTGATCTCCAACTCTTTTTTTTTTTTTTTTTTTTTTGAGACAAAGTCTTGCTCTGTCACCCAGGCTGGAGTGCAGTGGCGCAATCTCGGCTAACTGCAACCTCTGCCTCCAAGGTTCAAGTGATTCTCCTGCCTCAGCCTCCTGAGTAGCTGGGACTACAGGCAGATGCCACCACACCCAGCTAATTTTTTGTATTTTTAGTAGAGATGGGGTTTCACCGTGTTAGCCAGGATGGTCTCGATCTCCTGAACTCGTGATCCGCCCGCCTCAGCCTCCCAAAGTGCTGGGATTACAGGCATGAGCCACCATGCCTGGCCTGGCCTCCAACTCTTTAACTCAAGTGATCTGCCCTCCTGGGCTTCCCAAAGTACTGGGATTACAGGTGTGACCCACCATACCTAGCCAAAATTATTTTTTTTTAAACTCCATTTACTACTATTCCCAATTTAAATTGTATTTTATTTAGAGACAAGGTCTCCCTCCATTGCTCAGGCTGAAATGCAGTGGCAAAATCATAGCTCACTGCATCCTTGAAACTCCTGGGCTCAAGGAATCCTCCTTCCTCAACTTCCTGAGTAGCTGGTACTATAGGTGTGTGCCACTATGTCCAGCTAAGTTTAAATTTTTTTGTAGAGACAGGGTCTTGCCATGTTGCCCAGGCTGGTCTCAAACCCCTGGCCTCAAGCCGTCCTCTCACCTTGGCCTCCCAAAGTGCTGGGATTACAAGTGTAAGCCACTATGCCCCGCTGGTTTACTGAATATTTTAAGCCTACTGTTGAGGTCTACTGCTCCGAAAAACAAGATTTCTTTAAAATGATTACTGCTCATTGACAATGTACATAGTTATCCAAGAGCTCTGATGGAGATGTCCAAAGAGACGAATGTTGTTTTCTTTTTCTTTTTTTTTTTTTTTGAGACGGAGTTTCGCTCTTGTTGCCCAGGCTGGAGTGCAATGGTGCGATATCAGCTCACTGCAACTTCCGCCTCCTGGGTTCAAGTGATTCTCCTGCCTCAGCCTCCCGAGTAGCTGGGATTACAGGTGCGCCCCACCACACCCGGCTAATTTTGTATTTTTAGTAGAGACGGGGTTTCTCTATGTTGATCAGACTGGTCTCGGACTCCTGACCTCAGGTGATCCTCCCACCTCAGCCTCCCAAAGTGCTGGGATTACAGGCATGAGCCACCACGCCCAGCTGAATGTTGTTTTCCTGCCTGCTAACATAACATCCATCCTGTAGTCCATGGTTTAAGGAGTAATTTAGACTTTCAAGTCTCATTATTTAAGAAATACATTTCGCCAGGCATGGTGACTCATGCACTTTGGGAGGCCTAAGTGGATGGATTGTTTGAGCCCAGGAGTTGGATACCGGCCTGGGCAACACAGGGAGACCCCATCTCTACAAAAAATACAAAAATTAGCCTGGTGTGGTGGTGTGCGCCTGCAGTCCCAGCTACTCAGGAGACTGAAGTGGGAGGATCAACTGAGCCCTGGAGGTTGAGGCTGCAGTGAGCCGTGATGGCGCCACTGAACTCCAGCCTGGGTGAGACAGAGCCAGACCCTGTCTCAAAAAACCAAAACAGGAATCCCAGCACTTTGGGAGGGCGAGGCTGGTGGATCACTTGAGATCAGGAGTTGGAGACCAGCCTGGCCAACATGGTAAAACCCTGTCTCTACAAAAAATACAAAATTTAGCTGGGCTTGGTGATGTGCGCCTGTAATCCCAGCTACTTGGGAGGCTGAGGCAAGAGAATTGCTTGAACCCAGGAGGCAGAGGTTGCAGTGAGCCGAGATTGTGCCACTGCATTCCAGCCTGGGCAACAGAGTGAGACTCCAGCTCAAAAAAAAAACAAAAAACAAAAAAACCCAACCAAACACACACACACACACACACACACACACACACACACACACACACACAAGGTGATTGCTATGCAAATTAAATATAGCTTCACCAATCAGCTTGCTTCTCCTAATCCCTCATAGAAATCTTGGAGTAGCCCTGGGGTGCAGTGAGGCCAGATTCCAGGAAGGGAATGGGTGGGATGGGTCTGGGTACTGGTGAGCAGCAGGGAGGGTAAGTAGGTTAGCTTCTGGGCCAAGGAGGGCTCCTGGAGGCTTGTTCTGGGTAAAAGCTGGTCTCCTTGAACCTCGGAAGGTGGGGGAACCCACATCCTGGTCTCACCCGCCCAACCGCCCACTCACCCTTGGGTTAGCAGCCATCTAAGCCCCACCCTCCCCCTCACACGCTTAGCTAGCCTGCCACAAGCTGGCCCCTTGGCCTCCTAGAGACCCTGACATCTCCTCCAGCAGCATCTGTCCTCTCTCCTCAGGGAGGCAAGCATTTGATGCTCGAGGTCCCTGGCAGTTGTGGTCCTTGGCAAGTGATGTGTGAGTCCCGTGTGTCATAGGAAGCTCCCCATCCCCATCTGGTGACCAAAGGCCTGGCTACAAGTAGTGAGTCCTTCCTCCTCCACCCAGACCTCACTGCTCAGATCCCCTTCGCCAACTGGGACATCTTCCGACATGGCCTGGATGCTGTTGCTCATCTTGATCATGGTCCATCCAGGTGACAGGGCGTGCGCTCAGGACCCCAAGGAGTGTGGGTGGGAGGAGGGAGATCCAGGAGGCTGGACTAGATGCTATAGGGAACGGGCTTGGTGGGGGCTGAAACACACGGCTCTGAGGGAGGAGTGGGACTGCTCCAAAGGTGACACTCAGTGGACTCCCCCAATTCACAGTCTCTCTGTGTCACCCACTGTGAGGCTTTTTAGTTTGAGAGATCCAAGTAAATCTATGATAAATTTCTTGGTGAAACTTTTTTTTTTTTTTTTTTGAGACTGAGTCTCGCTCTGTCGCCTGGCTGGAGTGCCGTGGTGCGATTTTGGCTCACTGCAACCTCTGCCTCCCATGTTCAGGTGATTCTCCTGCCTCAGCCTCCTGAGTAGCTGGGACTACACGCACGCACGACCACACCTGGCTAATTTTTTTTTTTTTTGAGACGGAGTCTTGCTCTGTCACCTAGGCTGGAGTGCAGTGGCATGATCTTGGCTCACTGCAACCTCTGCCTCCTAGATTCAAGCAATTCTCCTGCCTCAGCCTCCTAGGTAGCTGGGATTACAAGCGCGCACCACCACACCCAACTAATTTTTGTATTTTTAGTAGAGACAGGGTTTTACCATGTTGGCCGGGCTGGTCTTGAACTCCTGACCTCAGGTGATCTGCCTGCCTCGGCCTCCTAAAGTGCGGGGATTACAGGCCTGAGCCACTGCGCCCAGCCATTTTTGTATTTTTAGTAGAGATGGGGTTTTGCTATGTTGGCCAGGTTGGTCTCAAACTCCTGATCTCAAGTGATCTGCCTGCCTCGGTCTCCCAAATTACTGGAATTATAGGCATGAGCCACTGCGCCCGCCTGGTGGTGAAACTTTTTTTTTGAGACAGTTTCATTCTGTTGTCCAGTCTAGAGTACAGTGGCGGTATCTCAGCTCACTGCAGCCTCCACCTCCTGGGTAAAAATGATTCTCCTGTCTCAGCCTCCCAAGTAGCTAGGATTACAGGTGCATGCCATTACTGCTGGCTAACTTGTGTATTTTTAGTAGAGACGAGGTTTCACCATGTTGGCCAGGCTGGTCTCAAACTCCTGACCTCAGGTGATCCACTCGCCTTGGCCTCCCAAAGTGTTGGGATTATAGGCGTGAGCCACTGCACCCGGCCGAAACTGTTTTTAATGAACTGAGAGACCTTAACTATCAGGCATATTATTAACTAAATGCAGGAGTTCTCAAAATGTGGATTTCTGGGAACCTAGAACAAATTCTTAGGCCCCACTCCAGACCTACTGAGTCAAAAACTCGGGGGGTAGGCCCAGGAATCTGTTCTAGCAGATGCTCCAGGTAATTTCCATACACACTCAAGTTTGAGAACCACTGAAATAGAATGACTTGTAAATTTCCCTAAGTAGATAATTTAATCAGGGATTTTAATATTTGGTTTAATTCATCAACATGGACGGGTTAAATAGGAATCTCAACCAATTAAGGCCACGTCTTCACCTGGAGATTTAATTAGTTACTTTCTTTAACGAAAACCAAGAGTGGCTGGGTGCACTTTGGGAGGCCGAGGCAGGTGGATCACTTGAGATCAGGAGTTTGAGACCAGCCTGGTCCGAGGTGGGTGGATCACTTGAGGTCAGGAGTTTGAGACCAGATGGTGAAACCCTGTCTCGACTGAAAATACAAAAATTAGCCAGTCGTGGTGGTGGGTGCCTGTAGTCCCAGCTACTTGGGAGGCTGAGGCACCAGGATCGCTTGAACCCAGGGGACGGAGTTTGCAGTGAGCCAAGATTGCACCACTGCATTCCAGCCTGGGCAACAGAGCAAGACCCCATCTCAAAAAAAGAAAAAAGAAAAAGAGGAAGGATGGCTTACTGTACAATGCCATTTGTACTAAAATAATACCTGGATAATATAATGAGTGATATTAGTTAACTAGGCAGCTGCATTCATTAATGAGCTTAATTTCACCATGATGGTTTACATTTCAGCTAGACAAGTTACTACTGAACTGGCTGGAGAATGATGGCAGAGGGTGAGAGTGAGAGTTGGTATAGGAAGAATTTGAAAAATGATTTTTATTTTTTATTTTTTGAGATGGAGTCTTGCTTTGTCGCCCAGGCTGGAGTGCAATGGCGCAATCTTGGCTCACTGCAACCTCTGCCTCCCGGGTTCAAGCGATTCTCCTGCCTCAGCCTCCCGAGTAGCTGGGATTACAGGTGCACACCACCATGCCCGGCTAATTTTTGTATTTTTTTAGTAGAGACGGGGTTTCACCATGTTGGCCAGGATGGTCTCGATCTCCTGACCTGGTGATCCGCCCACCTCGGCCTCCCAAAGTGCTGGGATTACAGGCGTGAGCCACTGCACCCAGCCGAAAAATGATTTAATAAGCAATGTTAAGAAATCAGATTGGTTAAGAGGGAAGGGTTTAATGAGGCACCCAAAGTATCTATTCCCATGCACCCTATGCCTGGAGAAAGCTGGGATGTTCTACTCCAAGCTCTGTTGTCTTTTCTCTTTGGAATAACTGGGGAGGTGTTTCTCTGGGTCTTCCTTCTGCCCCCAGGATCCTGTGCTCTCTGGGTGTCCCAGCCCCCTGAGATTCGTACCCTGGAAGGATCCTCTGCCTTCCTGCCCTGCTCCTTCAATGCCAGCCAAGGGAGACTGGCCATTGGCTCCGTCACGTGGTTCCGAGATGAGGTGGTTCCAGGGAAGGAGGTGAGGAATGGAACCCCAGAGTTCAGGGGCCGCCTGGCCCCACTTGCTTCTTCCCGTTTCCTCCATGACCACCAGGCTGAGCTGCACATCCGGGACGTGCGAGGCCATGACGCCAGCATCTACGTGTGCAGAGTGGAGGTGCTGGGCCTTGGTGTCGGGACAGGGAATGGGACTCGGCTGGTGGTGGAGAAAGGTGAGATGCTGGGAGGTGGTGTCTCCTCCTGGCTGGAGGCCCCAAGAGGCAATGTCCTTGGGAGGCAGGGATGCTCCTCTGAGGCCCCTTCCCTCCCTGAGCCTGTGTGCACTTCTTCCCCAACCCCCGTCTCCATTGCCCCATGCAGAACATCCTCAGCTAGGGGCTGGTACAGTCCTCCTCCTTCGGGCTGGATTCTATGCTGTCAGCTTTCTCTCTGTGGCCGTGGGCAGCACCGTCTATTACCAGGGCAAATGTGAGTAATGGAGCCAGGGGCAATAGTGGACGGGATGGGAGGGGCAGTAAGAGAGTGGGAGGAGGGAGGACAGAGACCAGGAAGAGGAGAGCCTCGGGACTGCAACACTGAGCAGCTCCTGTCCTCTCTCTGACCAGGCCACTGTCACATGGGAACACACTGCCACTCCTCAGATGGGCCCCGAGGAGTGATTCCAGAGCCCAGATGTCCCTAGTCCTCTTCAAAAGACCCCAATAAATCTGCCCCACCACTAACTCCTCATGAGTCTCAAGTGTTTTCTTCTCCATTCTCCAGATGCCAAATCTACTCTCTCCGGATTCCCCCAACTCTGAACTTTCCCTTCCACCAGGTCTGACCTGGAAAGGTCCAAGAAGGCAGCTGCCGGCTGTGGTCCCAGCGCCCCTCCCACCACCATGTGGGAGCTCAGCACATCTGCTTCCCCCAGTCCCAGGAGGCTGAGCCTGATTGTCCTGAGAAATGGGAAGGATCAGATATGACTCCTCCTTGGCAACTGCCCTTTCCTGCCAGGCCCACACATACCCTCTTCTGGCTGTTAGGGGAGCTTGGGTCCCTGAACACTGTCATTCACCCAATAAATTACTATTTGACCCCAGAGTGGGTGGAAGGGTGAGCCATGTGTTTTTTTTATTTTAATTTTTAAAAAATTTAAAAAATTCCCTATTCAAAGGTCAAAAAGCCACATAAGTTTTGATGATGATCAATTTGAACGGAGGCTCGAGATGGACTGAGAGGACTGAGACACAGAAGTGGGGGGACCATGGTTTTTACTGGCTGGACCACAGGGGGACCCTGTCCACCCGCCTGGGTTGAGGAAGGTGTCTGGGGTGCTCAGGTGGGTTTGTTCTCAGCAATGCAGGCATAGTCAGCTCTTGGATCCTCCTTGGTGCCTCTCTTGTCTCTGCCCCTGAGGTCAGGTCCCTCACTGCTGGGCACTGGCAGCCTCTGCAGAGATGCATAGTGGAGTTCCTGCTCTGAGGAGCCCTGGGCCTGGGACCAGGACAGAAGGTGCTGATGGGAGGCGATGCCGTCAGATCCTTCCCTGTGAGTTCTGCTCCCACCTCCAGCCTTTCTTACTTCTCTCCCTCTCTCTCTCTCTCTCTCCCTCTCTCTCTCTCTCTCTCTCTCTCTCTTTTTTCTTTGGAGACAGAGTCCCACTATGTTGTCCAGGATTGTCTTCAACCCCTGAGCTCAAGCTATCTTCCTGCCTCAGCCTTGCGATAGCTGGAATGACAGACGTGAGCCACTGTGCCTGGTTCTGGAGCCTCTCTCTCTCTCTCTCTTTCATTGCTCTTCTCTTTGTGTCTCTCTCACTCTCATTTTCTCCCTGTCTCTCCTATCCTCTGTCTCACTTTTTCTCTTGGTTTCTGTCTCATTTTCTCTTTCTCTTTTGCCTCGATTTTCTCTGCCTCTCTCATGCTCCTACTTTCTCTCTCCTTGTCTCCCGTCCCCAACCCTCCTCTCAGCGCTCAGCCATGCTTCTCCCCACTCACCCACTCAGGATCTCTCTTGCCCTCCCCCTTCCCTGTCCCCAGACTCACCCAGCTCCTCTCCAGCCTCTTTACTGGAAGAAAAGAAGAAGCTCAACACAGCCCACCCTTTGTGCTTCTCCCGGGCCCTCCCGGGCTCCCCCCACCAGCAGGCGTGGACTCCCCTGTTGGCTTCCCAGTGGCTCCAGGGCCAGGCAGTGTTCTGGGAAAGCAGTGGGAAAGCGTGTGGGGGTGGGGGCACAGGGGGCACTGCTGCAGGGGGAGGGAGGGAGTGCAGCGCTCACCTCTTCGATGCAGCCAACACAGGCAGGCGGACAGAAGGACCACTGCCAGAAGCAGGAGCCCGCCCAGCCCCAGGCCCCCGTAGATACATATATCTTCAGGGAAGAGGGCTCAAGGTTAGGAAGCCCATTCCTTCTCCAGCGTACCCCAGCCTCCTGGTTGGTTGCAGCTTTCTCAGATTCCCTCTCCAACAGTTTTAGAGGCAGAAAAATATACCCTCAGAGCTTCTCCATCCCAGACCTTAATACCTCACCTCTTACCAGGTTTCTGGGCCTCCCGTGAGGTCCCTTTCCCTCCTGTACCAGCTGTCCCCAGAGGCCTGTCCACCTAGTCATGAGCTGCATACATCACTGTTCCCCATCACTTCCTAAGCTCCCAGGACCCTCTCTATGCAGATGCAAGAGACACTTTACTTACCATCATTCCGCGATAACATTAGGTCAGGGATCAGGGACTGGCCTGGAGGTCAGGAACTCTAGTCCTTGCTCTTTTAGGCGAAATGATCAGGGGCTGGTGACTTGCCTCAAGTTCCTCATCTGTGAAGTGAGGGGCCCTCTGTTATAATCGTTCCCAGGCTGGGGAGCCTCCCTTATGTGCCAACCCTGAGCTGGGCACTTTCCATTCCTCACTGCTAATCCCCAGAACATAGGGTATCATGGTGCCCGTTGCCCAAGTAAAGACCCGAGATTCAAGCCTGGACTTTACTAGGTCACCCATCCCAGAAAGGTGGAGCTGGGGTTTAAGGCCAGCTCTGCCCAACTCCAGAGCCCAGCCCTTTCCTCTGCCCTGGGCTGACCACGTGGTTTGGAGGGGACTTTTCAGCCCTGGATGGTTCTAGGTGCTGGTAAGGGGATGATGGAGGGGAAGGAGCCTGGGCCTGGGTGGGTGTGGGCACTGGGGGGAAGAAGGGAGGGTGATATCAGCACACCCAGCAGGTGGGCTGCTCCCTGAGCCGCAGAGCAGCGCGGGAGTGTGGGGGCCCCCTTGGCTGGTGTGGAGAGCTGCTTCCCACAGGCAGATGCTGCTAGGGCTGAAGTGGGGCATGGAGGAGTATCTGGGGCCCCATAACTTCCCCTCAGGCACTTCCTCCCCTCCAACCACTGGTTCCTGTTTGAGGGTGAAGAGGGGGCCGTTCTCTTCACCCCAGAGCCAGATATACTGACTAGGGTCTGGAAACTGGGACCCTTCTGGGTTTAAGAGGAATTCTGGGGGGTGGGGAGCAGAAGTGCAGGTGGAGGCCATAAGGGCCGTGGGCACAGAAATGAATTGTCTTTAATTTCTTTGGGGAGCAGAGACTCAGAGGATTCCTCGACGGCCCAGGGAAACTCAAACCCATACTCTCCCTCCCCTCATCTTAGCTTCACCCCACTCTGGGGTGTGACCATCCTTCCACCAAGGTCCCTGCCCATTCCCAGCTTACCCAGAGCTTGTGGCCTGCAGGATGGACAGACTCCAAACTGGCCAGTGCTGTCTGGCTGAAGAGAAGTGTTGCCACCTCAGACATTCCTGCCCCTCCTCTGGCTTTAACTTCTCCCCCAGCCTGGGTTCCTCCCCAGCATTGTTAGGAGAGGAAGTTCGGCTCCAGGGTTAGGGTTACAACATCTTTCTTTTCAAACTTCTGGGCCTGTAGCTAGGGCCATAATCTGCCTCAGCTCCAGTCATTTCACTGATCCTGCCACTAGTCAGCAAACACCCACCACCTTCAGGTGTCTTCCTTGATTAACTCTTCTCTATTACCTCTTACACTGCATCTGTTGAGACCTCTTGATCTTGGCATATGTCTGTGGACACATGTACCCTGCTCCAGTTCAGACTGGGAGCTCTGGCATATTTGGTGTTCTGGTGACCCACTTGGTGTTCTGCAGCTCTATGCAGCAGGCTGCTTGGCTGTCTGATTAACAAACATGAGAGTTAAAGGCAGCCATACTAGATCTACATGAGCCCTGTGGATAGATCAAGGACAGAAAGTTGGTGACAAGTTGGTGACAGGAAAGGAGGTGTGGGCAATACAGGTGGACTTCCTGTAGGAGGCAGCATTCTGGCATTGAACACAGAACTAAGTAAAGGCAGCGGCCTGAGGCTCTCTGGAGAGACCTGGGTGAAGGCTTCTTAGTGGCACTGTGATGGAGAAGGAGATGGGTGCTGGAGGATTGCACACCCACTCCTTGAGGAGGGTGAAGACTGGGGAGCGCCTGTAAGGCAAGGGGTGAGGAGGAGATGTGGTGCCTGGGTGGGTCCATATTAATTTGCGTTTCCCCTTCCAAATTCAAGAACCTTCTACTTCCTCCCCCACCCTTCTCCCCATCCTCCATGTTCCCCATGCTGAATAATATTCAGGGTTTTTTGTTTGTTTGTTTTGTTTTTTTTACATTTTATTATTAAAAAGTGCAAACATAGGGTGAAATGAGAATAATTGTACAGTGAACATATTCTTACCACCTAGATGCTACTATTAACATTTTTTGTTTTGTTTTGTTTTTGAGATGGGGTCTCACTCTGTCACTCAGCCTGAAGTGCAGTGGTGAAATCATAGCTCACTGCAGCCTTGAATTCCTGGGCTCAGAGGTCCTCCCACCTTAGCCTTCTGAGTAGCTAGGACTACAGACACCAGCTACCACATGAGGCTTTGTAGAAATGGGGTCTTACTATGTTGCCCAGGCTGATTTTGAACTCCTGGTCTCAAGCAATCTTTCCACCTTAGCCTTCCAAAGTGCTGGAATTACAGGAGTGGGCCACTGCACCTGGCTCTATTAACATTTTTTATTTGCTTTATCACATATTTATCAATCCATCTCACTTTTAAATATCTTTTAAAATTACAAATATCAGTACATTTTACATCTAAACCCTTCAGAAGCTTAACATTGACTGGAGTTCAGTATTTATTTCCCCATTTCTTTTCTGGCCTGAGGAAGGCAAATTTTACATACAAATCTCAAGTCAGTACTCTTTTTTTTTTTTGAGACGGAGTCTTGCTCTGTTGCCCAGGCTGGAGTCCAGTGGTGTGATCTTGGCTCACTGCAACCTCTGCCTTCTGGGTACAAGCGATTCTCCTGTCTCAGCCTCCCAAGTAGCTGGGACTACAGGTTTGTGCCACCATATCCAGCTAATTTTTGTATTTTTAATGGAGAAGGGGTTTCACCATGTTGGCCAGGCTGGTCTCAAACTCTTGACCTCAAGTGATCCACCTGCCTTGGTCTCCTAAAGTGCTGGGATTATAGGTGTGAGCCATCTCGCCTGGCCTAATACTGTTTTGTTTGTTTGTTTTTGTTTTTAAGACAGAGTCTTGTTCTTGTCACCCAGGCTGGAGTGCAATGGCATGATTTCGGCTCACTGCAACTTCCGCCTCCTGGGTTCAAGTGATTCTCCTGCCTCAGCCTCCCAAGTAGCTGGAATTAAAGGTGCCTACCACCACGCCCCGCTAATTTTTATATTTTTAGTAGAGATGGGGTTTCACCATGTTGATCAGGCTGCTCTCGAGCTCCTTACCTCAGATGATCCACCTTCCTTGGCCTCCCAAAGTGCTGGTATTATAGGCAAGAGCCACTGCGCCCAGCCCCAGTATTCAGTTTTTAAACTGTCTTGTTATCAAGGCTCTGGAGCCAGATGCCTGGGTTCAAATTCTGGTTCTGCCACTGACTCTGTGAGCTCCATAAGTTTCTTAACCTCTCTGTACCTCAGTTTCCTCTTAGGGTTTTTGTCAGGATTATAATTATTGGCTGGGCATGATGGCTCATGCTTGTAATCCCAGCACTTTAGGAGGCCAACACGGGCAGATCACGTGAGTCCAGGAGTTTGAGCCCAGCCTGGGCAATGTGGCAAAAATCCATCTCTACAAAAAATGCAAAAATTAGCTGGGCATGGTGGCATGTGCCTATAGTCCCAGCTATTCAGGAGGCTGAGGTAGGTGAATCCATAGATCCTGGGAGGTCAAGGCTGCAGTGAGCCATGATCCTGCCATTGCATTCCAGTCTGGGTGACATAGCGAGACCCTGTCTCAAAAAAAAAAATTATTAAAGTGTGTAAATCAGTGGCATAAACATGTTAAGTGCATTTTGTGGGTCAGCTATATTATTATTAGTATTACGGAAACACATAGAGATGTTACCAAGAAGGGGAGATGATTGGAGCCACTTCCAGCTTCCTTGGACCTGGTCTTTCTTCCCTTGACTCTTTTTTTTTTTTTTTTTTTTTTTTTGAGAGAGAGAGTCTCAGCCTGTTGCCCAGGCTGGAGTGCAATGGTGCAATCTTGGCTCACTGCAACCTCTGCCTCCCAGGTTTAAGTGATTCTCCTGCCTCAGCCTCCTGTGTAGCTGGAATTACAGGCGCGTGCCACCACGCCCGGCTAACTTTTTGTATCTTTAGTAGAGACAGGGTTTCACCATGTTGGCCAGGCTGGTCTCGAACTCCTGACCTCAAGTGATCCACCTGCCTCAGCCTCCCAAAGTGTTGGGATTACAGGTGTAAGCCACTACCCCGGCTACTCCCTTGACTCTTAACCACTCATGCTGCCTACATCTACCATTCATGTGGTCCTTGCTGCTTTGTTTTGGTTATTCCTGCATTTATTTGTCCTTTTATTCATTTATGTATAAACATTTAGTAAGCACCTACTAATGGATAGGGCTCATTGTAGACTTGGAAGCTCTCTGAGGGTGGGAGTATGCCTCGTCCATCTGTCTTTACTTTTTGTAGCAAGGGAGGTAAAGCTCCATTTCCATCCCTCCTTAGTGAGTCAGTAGTCAGTGGTGAGGCTAAGGCTTACCTCTCCCTTTCTCACTCAGCACAGGGGGCTGGAGATGAGCAAGGGAACGGGAGGAGGTCAGCCCAGTATGGGAATCAGTTCTTCTCAGGGAACCCAGACATCCATCCCTCAAGATTCCAGTCCTTGTCCTAGTCCGGCCCTTGACCTCAGAGACGGGATCAGCTCTTCCTCCAGCACCTACCTTGAGGGTATAGAAGAATGCAAACCACATTGGAAACCTGGAGATCTGTGTTCTCATTTCAGCTCTGCTGACTGGCTTCCTGCAAGCTACCTTCCCTCCCTGGGCCTCAGTTTCTCTCTCTGCTGAGCCAGAAGATGTCTAAAGACCCCTTTGGTTCCACCCTGAGAGCCTGTCTCCCTAACCTCAACTTCTTCCCCAGTTCAGAGAACCCAGGCATCCAGCTGCCCCACCCCAGCTCTGGGTAAACAGGAAGCTGGGTGAGGGGAGCAGGGGTGTGCGGAAAGTCCCAGCCAGGTGTGCAGGTCTACAGGGAGGGGGTGGGCCCGTCCCTGAGGTATGAAAGCCCCCTGCTCTGGCTCTGGTTCAGTCTCAATGGGGGCACTGGGGCTGGAGGGCAGGGGTGGGAGGCTCCAGGGGAGGGGTTCCCTCCTGCTAGCTGTGGCAGGAGCCACTTCTCTGGTGACCTTGTTGCTGGCGGTGCCTATCACTGTCCTGGCTGTGCTGGCCTTAGTGCCCCAGGATCAGGGAGGACTGGTGAGTGGCTGCAACAGGCCCTGGTGGAGAGTTGTATCTTGCGGATGCTTGGCTCCCTCTGGTTGTGCCTGTGGTCTTTTGCCCCCTCTGGCTCAGCTGGCTCGGCTGTCCCTGGTGGGGATGTCTTGTCTCTTTGCTGACTCTCTTTCCATGTTCCTGTGATGTTGTGCTTGTGTCCCGACATAAGCCCCTTGTGTCTCCTCTCCTCTTCCCGAGGTACATCTGTTTCTCCGCCCAAGTACCTATGCCTTGCTTGTTCTCCCTTCTAAGGAGGTGTGTGTTGGGGATGGTGCTGGTAGGAGAAACCCCAGGCCTGCAGCTTGGGTCCACTTTCAGAGGGGTAGGGGTGACATGAGCTGAATCTGAACTCTGGGCACTGTGACCCCACCCAACCAGGTAACGGAGACGGCCGACCCCGGGGCACAGGCCCAGCAAGGACTGGGTAAGAGCAGACTGTCTCTCCTTCCCCGCTTCAGACCCTCAGGGGCTCCCAGCTCCCTGCTGCGTCCCCAGATACCTCTTCCTCTAGGAATCCAGGCTCCCCATCCCTGCGCCCTGTTCTCTCAAGGGTAGCCTGCATGGGTGGCTGCCCTGCCCCCAATCGTGGACTCTTTGCCCCTTCCAGGGTTTCAGAAGCTGCCAGAGGAGGAGCCAGAAACAGATCTCAGCCCCGGGCTCCCAGCTGCCCACCTCATAGGTAAGGACCTCCAAGACCTGAATAAGAGTGTAAATAATCCGAAGGTTCCAGTTCTGCTCGCCCAGAGTCCTTCGGCTCCATGATTCCAGTGCTCGGTTTCCCACCCGCTTCACGACCTTTTGTCGCTCGTGCCCACTCTTACGCTCGTCCCCGCAGTGTAGTTTCTTCTTCCCTCCGGTGCAAGCAAAAGCCGGCCTGGAGGTCCCCACTACAGCGTTCTGCACCCCACATCCGTGTTCCCTCGGCCCCCAACTCGCACTCATCCCAGAAACAGCACCATCCCTCCTCCCCCGGCCCGGCTCGGCTCCCGCAGGGGCTAAAAGCCGCCACTTCCCCAGAAGTCCCAAGCCTTTAGGATCGCATTCCCAAGAGCGCGTCGGCCCGTGTCTCCGCAGGCGCTCCGCTGAAGGGGCAGGGGCTAGGCTGGGAGACGACGAAGGAACAGGCGTTTCTGACGAGCGGGACGCAGTTCTCGGACGCCGAGGGGCTGGCGCTCCCGCAGGACGGCCTCTATTACCTCTACTGTCTCGTCGGCTACCGGGGCCGGGCGCCCCCTGGCGGCGGGGACCCCCAGGGCCGCTCGGTCACGCTGCGCAGCTCTCTGTACCGGGCGGGGGGCGCCTACGGGCCGGGCACTCCCGAGCTGCTGCTCGAGGGCGCCGAGACGGTGACTCCAGTGCTGGACCCGGCCAGGAGACAAGGGTACGGGCCTCTCTGGTACACGAGCGTGGGGTTCGGCGGCCTGGTGCAGCTCCGGAGGGGCGAGAGGGTGTACGTCAACATCAGTCACCCCGATATGGTGGACTTCGCGAGAGGGAAGACCTTCTTTGGGGCCGTGATGGTGGGGTGAGGGAATATGAGTGCGTGGTGCGAGTGCGTGAATATTGGGGGCCCGGACGCCCAGGACCCCATGGCAGTGGGAAAAATGTAGGAGACTGTTTGGAAATTGATTTTGAACCTGATGAAAATAAAGAATGGAAAGCTTCAGTGCTGCCGATAAAGATGCTGAGTTGCGACACACGTCTTAATTCAGGGTGGGTGCACGGGTGCGGGTTAAATATTCTCAGTACTCTTCTGGTTGCTTGAAACAATTCATCACAACACAGTGTATGGCCTTTGCTCCTAGGGATGATGGTCTGCCTGTCCCACCCCCTCCCTGCCTCTGAATGGCCAGGCCCCACCATTAGCCCAGTTGGAGGGTGGGAGGAAGGGGGACTTCTCAAACTCCGAAGCTTCTCTAGGCATCCTGATTTTCAGGGCCACATGGTCCCAACCAGACTCTGCACCATACTCTTTTCTCTTGGGTACCCCCCAACAGTGAGAGGGGTCATTACAGAGCCCAGCAAGCACCACTCAGAAAGGCCCAGCAGCAGAGTAAGCCCCTATCATGACAGAGGAATGAAGCCTGGAGGGGCCCCGCACTTCTCCCCCTAGAGCTGCCTGAAGGCCTCTCTGTCTCCTACCCGACAGTCAACTCTTCTCCTCCAAGGAGCTTAATTCAAGGCTCATGGGGTCTGAAGGGAGGAGGCTGAAGGAGAAAGAAGGGGAGAATATTAGAGAGAGATGGGGATGGCAGGAAGGAGCCTGTGGTGCCTGAAAACACCAGGAAGTTCTGGGGAGGAGGAAAAACCGATGCCCCACTTAGGGTGTCCCATTTAGGGTGAGACGGAAAATCCTCACCTTTTTTTCACACTTTAGGTCCCCCTTCCCAAAAGTGAGTAAGTGTGGGTGCTTCTGGGATGAGTAACAGTGTCCCCCATTACTTCATGGCTGACTTTCAGCCACAGGCTGGAGGAGGCAGAGGGTGACCCAAGGCCCTATCTAGGTCACCCCAATGGGTCACCCTACCCCCTCAGCCTACCACATGGTTTTCTCCTGCCTGGCACCCCAGGGCTGGAGGTAAAGCCTAATTTCCGAACTCAGTGGGGGCTCCCAGTCTAGGGGGGCTCAATTTCCGTCTCCATATTTGTTTTTGGAATTATTATTTTTTTGAGACAGGGTCTCGTTCTGTCACCCAGACGGGGGTACAGTGGCATGATCATAGCTTACTGTAACCTCAAACTCCTGGGCTTGAGTGATCCTCCTGCCTCAGCCTCCTGAGGAGCTAGGATTACAGGCATGCACCACTACACCTGACTAATCTTTAATTTTTTTTCTAGAAACAAGGTCTTGCTATGTTGCACAGGCTGGTCTTGAACTAGTGGGCTCAAGTGGTCCTCCCACCTCAGCCTCCCAAAGTGTTGGGATAACAGGCATGAGCCACTGCGCCCCACCCTTATTTGTCTTTGACTCTCTCCAGAAGAGCCTTCATCCAGGGAGGGGGTGCTTTTCTCTTTCCGGATTACCCACCTCTCACCTCTCCCCTCCTTCACCACAAAGACCAGTGGGACCAAGCCGGCATGTGAGTCCTTCACCCACATCTTATTCCTATGTTTCATTCTTTTTTAAAAAATAGAGACAGGATCTCACTATGTTGCCCAGGTTGCTCTGGAACTCCTGGGTTCAAGCGATCCTCTCACCTTGGCCTTGCAAAGTGGTAGGATTACAGGTGCATGCCACCACGTCCGGCAGTTCGGTTCCTTGTTCTTTATTGTCCTCAGTCTCTTCGATTTCACCCACTGAGAGAATGGAAGGGGATAGAACAGCTGGAAACTGGTTGAAGGAAGCCAGAATTCACTAAGTGCCCACTGTGCCAAGGGCTGAGTGAGGTCCTCTGATGGAGGTCAGGCCTTCTCTCACATGCCCTATGTGTGGTGGACATTCCTATCCCCATTGGATAGATAGGTTAAGTGGCTGGTTCAGGTTGCAGAGTTAGGACAGGGTGATTTGAAGCCTAGACACCCGAATCTCTGGAAGTCCCTTGGCTGTGTGATTCAGGTACCTGAGAATGCGGCTCCTCTCCAGCTCTCTCCGGACTGCTGGCCAGCTGCAACAGCCGGAAATCTCACCTGAGCTGCAGGATTTTCCCAGCAAGGATTGGAATTCCCAGAGTTGGAAATTCCCATGCCCTGAGGGAGAGGTAATTAGGTTCAGGCTCTTGTTTCCTGGGGGATGGGGAATATTCTGTTGGGCTTTGTTTATGTAGGGTCTCCAGGGCCCTAGGAGTCTAAGGATGGGACTGGGTCCGAGGGATCTTAAAGCCTGTGGAGAGAGGACTTAGGGAGCTTCTTCCCACCCACAAGAAGAGGCAGATGCAGAATTAATTCCAAGAAGGAGACCATGTTTCTTTTCTAAGCAAACTTTATTTCTCGCCACTGAATAGTAGGGCGATTACAGACACAACTCCCCTGGGGAGCAGAGGCTCAGCAATGAGTGACAGTTGGTCACCAAATCAGCATTGTTTAGACAACTTAATCAGATAAATATTTTAAAAAACATAATCAAAAGAAGGCACAGAGGCCAGGGGGCTACATGGGAACAGCCTATTGTTCAGCTCCGTTTTCACGGAAAACATGTCTGAGCCAAGGCAGCTCCTACATTGGGTCCCCCAGGATACCCCGGTCTCCCAAATAAATACATTCATCTGTAAATAAATAAATAATAAATAAATAATAAATAATCACAAGTGCAAACATAAATAGAGGGAGCTGGCTCCATGGGGAGGGCTGGGCTCCGTGTCTCAAGGAAGTCTGGAAACATCTGGAGAGAGGAAGGCCTAAGGTCCACTTGTGTCAATTTCTAGGTGAGGTCTTCTCAAGTCCTGCAGCATTCTGGCCAGAACCAAAGGCTCCCTGGTCTCCAGATTCCAGATGTCAGGGATCAAAGCTGTAGGCCCCAGTGAGTTCTGGAGGCCCCAGTTTGAATTCTTAGTGGTTGCCAGCACTTCACTGTGCAGGCCACACATTCCTGAATCCCAGGTTTCGAAGTGGTGGTCTTGTTGCTTAAAGTTCTAAGCTTGGGTTCCGACCCTAAGCCCCCAATTCTCTTTTTGAGCCAGAAGAGGTTGAGGGTGTCTGAAGGAGGGGGTAATAAAGGGATTGGGGCAGGGGAGGCGTTTGGGAAGGTTGGATGTTCGTCCTCCTCACAGGGCAATGATCCCAAAGTAGACCTGCCCAGACTCGGCAAAGTCGAGATAGTCGGGCCGATTGATCTCAGCGCTGAGTCGGTCACCCTTCTCCAGCTGGAAGACCCCTCCCAGATAGATGGGCTCATACCAGGGCTTGGCCTCAGCCCCCTCTGGGGTCTCCCTCTGGCAGGGGCTCTTGATGGCAGAGAGGAGGTTGACCTTGGTCTGGTAGGAGACGGCGATGCGGCTGATGGTGTGGGTGAGGAGCACATGGGTGGAGGGGCAGCCTTGGCCCTTGAAGAGGACCTGGGAGTAGATGAGGTACAGGCCCTCTGATGGCACCACCAGCTGGTTATCTCTCAGCTCCACGCCATTGGCCAGGAGGGCATTGGCCCGGCGGTTCAGCCACTGGAGCTGCCCCTCAGCTTGAGGGTTTGCTGGAGGGAGGGAGAGAGGGAGAGGAGAGTCAGTGTGGCCATGTCGGTTCACTCTCCACATCCTGGCCCTCGAGCTCTGCCCACCCCACATCCGGTTCCTGTCCTCTCTGTCTGTCATCCCACATCCCACCTGGCCATGACGTTCTGAGTATCCCACTAAGGCCTGTGCTGTTCCTCCACCCTTCCCTTGAGCTCAGCGAGTCCTTCTCACATTGTCTCCAAGTTCTGCCTACCATCAGCCGGGCTTCAATCCCCAAATCCTAGCCCTCCAAGTTCCAAGACACATCCTCAGAGCTCTTACCTACAACATGGGCTACAGGCTTGTCACTCGGGGTTCGAGAAGATGATCCTGAAGAGGAGAGAGAAAAGAAAAAGCTGAGACCCTTAAACTTCCTAGAAAATACCCCCCTACTTTCACCTCCATCCATCCTCCCCCAAGACCAAAACTTTAAATTTCCCCCACTGCTTCCATACCGGTACTAACCCTACCCCCAAACCCAAACCCAGAATTAGGAAAGAGGTTTGGAGACACTTACTGACTGCCTGGGCCAGAGGGCTGATTAGAGAGAGGTCCCTGGGGAACTGTTGGGGAGAAGGAGAATGGTTAACATCGAGGGAGTCACCCTTAAAGGAGGAACAGCTGGCTGCCTGTCTGGCCTGCGCTCTTAGCCCTGAGGTGTCTGGTTTTCTCTCTCCATTCATCTGTGTATTCACCTTCCAGGCATTCAACAGCTCTTTCCCTGAGTGTCTTCTGTGTGCCAGACACCCTATCTTCTTCTCTCCTTATCTCCCCCATCTCTCTCCTTAGCTGTCATATTTCCCGCTCTTTCTGTCTCACCATCTTTATTCATATCACTTGTTTCTTCCCCCATCTCTCTTCTCACACCCCACATCTGTCTCCATATCTTATTTATATATCTGCTTGTTCATTCATTCATTCATTCATTCACTCCATACACACTTAGTGAGCACCTTCCATGTGCCAGACATCCTGTCTCTCCATCTTTCTCTCTCTCTCTTCCCCATCTCTTGCCACATCTCTTTCTGCATCCCCGTCTTTCTCCACGTTTTTTTCTCTCCATCCCTCCCTATCAGCGCACATCTTTCACCCATCCCATCTCTCTCCCTCTCTTGCGTCTCCATTTCCCCTTGGGTGGGAGAGTGGATGAAGGCTGGCCAGGCACTCACCTCTTCCCTCTGGGGGCCGATCACTCCAAAGTGCAGCAGGCAGAAGAGCGTGGTGGCGCCTGCCACGATCAGGAAGGAGAAGAGGCTGAGGAACAAGCACCGCCTGGAGCCCTGGGGCCCCCCTGTCTTCTTGGGGAGCGCCTCCTCGGCCAGCTCCACGTCCCGGATCATGCTTTCAGTGCTCATGGTGTCCTTTCCAGGGGAGAGAGGGTGGAGCCGTGGGTCAGTATGTGAGAGGAAGAGAACCTGCCTGGCAGCTTGTCAGGGGATGTGGCGTCTGAGGGTTGTTTTCAGGGGGGGTCTGTAGTTGCTTCTCTCCCTCTTAGCTGGTCCTCTGCTGTCCTTGCTGAGGGAGCGTCTGCTGGCTGGGTGTGCCAACAACTGCCTTTATATGTCCCTGGGGCGAGAGGAGGGCGGGGAAAGAATCATTCAACCAGCGGAAAACTTCCTTGGTGGAGAAACCCATGAGCTCATCTGGAGGAAGCGGTAGTGGGCCCTGCACCTTCTGTCTCGGTTTCTTCTCCATCGCGGGGGCGGGGATTTGGAAAGTTGGGGACACACAAGCATCAAGGATACCCCTCACACTCCCCATCCTCCCTGCTCCGATTCCGAGGGGGGTCTTCTGGGCCACTGACTGATTTGTGTGTAGGACCCTGGAGGCTGAACCCCGTCCCCATGCCCCTCAAAACCTATTGCCTCCATTTCTTTTGGGGACCAGGTCTGTGGTCTGTTTCCTTCTAACTTCCAGACAGGATGCAGGAAAAAGATAGAACTAGAACTGGGAGGGGCTTCAGAAAGCTGAGTCCTTGAGGGAGAGAAAACGGGGTTGGAGGGAAAAGCTGTGTTGAGTCCTGAGGCCTGTGTTTGGGTCCCTGCGGGGAGAAGGAGCTGGGGGCTTGGTGGCAGGCTTGAGGCCTCAGGAAAGGCTGGGTGGGGGTAGCAGGGACAAGCCTGGGACAGCCCCGGGGAGTGAAATCACCCCCGGGAATTCACAGACCCCACTGGGGCAGGCCTTCTTCTTTCATTCTGACCCGGAGACTCATAATGCTGGTTTCAGTCTTGGCTTCCAAGGAACTCTGGGGTCCCTGATTTTTTTCATGAAGCTCTCACTTCTCAGGGCCCCAGTGTGTGGCCATATCTTCTTAAACGTCCCCTGTATTCCATACCTGGAGGTCCTGGAGGCTCTTTCACTCCCTGGGGCCCTCTACATGGCCCTGTCTTCGTTAAGGGGGGGTCCCCATACTCGACTTCCATAGCCCTGGACATTCTCCTACCCATTGCTGTGGTCACATCTCCCCAGAGGTCTCCTGTAACCCATTCCTCAGAGCCGCTACATGTGGCCATATCTCCCAGGAGCTCCCTGACCCCCGCCCCTCCAGACCCTGACTTTTCCTTCATCTTCTCAGCTTCTCCTTTGCTTCCCCTGCAGCAGTCTGGCGGCCTCACCTGGTGAGTCCATCACATATCCCTGAAGCTCTCTGAGCCCTTATCCTTTTGTTCTCCCCACAGCTCTTGCTCCCTTTGAGCCCTCTGTCCCTCCCTCCATTCCTTAGATAGACTGGGAAGTTCTCACTCCCAGACACACACACACAAGCAGACAGCATTTCAGAGAAAAGAGGTTTATTGGGCTTCATCGAGGGTGCAGATGCCTCCGTGTGGGGCTCTGGTCGGCAGCTGGCTTTCAGAGCCTTTCCCTGCCTTCTGGGGCCCTGTGATCCCTCATGCCTACTTCTTTCTCTCTTGGTCAGCCTTGTGCGCATGCCCTCTCACTCTTCATCTCTTGGGCCTGTCTCTGTTTCTCCTTGGATGTTCTTCTATTATTCCCCTCTCTCCATCCTCCATAAATAAATAATTTAATTTTTTTGCCTTCATAAATAGTCCCCTCCCTGCCTCTAGTCATCCCCCAAGCTCCTCCATGTGCCTGCTCTTCCTCTGTGTGTGGATCTAGGCCCCACCTAGCTGGTGGGACAGACCAACAGCTTTGGGCTGGGAATTCCTAGGCAGGCTTGAAATCCTCAGCCAGACAGACATCAGGGATGGTTCAGGGAGGTGTGGTCCCCTGGGATGCCTAGAATTCCTTCTTTGAAAGCTCCGGTGACTTGATCAGGGAAGACTTGAGCTGTTGGAATGGCCAAAGGAGAGGTGGTGACGACCCCTGAAATGGTCAGAATGGAGGCAGAATGGGGAGAAGGTCTTGAAATCAATTATTTTTTCTTTCTGGATTTTTCCAAGTTCTACAGAGCGAAGGCTCCAAAGAAGACAGTACTAGGGCTGAGGACTAGGTGGGGGATGCCATCTGTGTGGGTGGATAGCTGGTCTCCCTGGGTGAGCTGGAACGCAGCCCCGTGGTACATCGAGTGCAGCCAGGGTTCCTGCAGCCCTGGATACACCATCTTCTGGGAGCTGAGGAGAGGCACATGGAAGGGGTACTGGGAGGAGAAGAGCTGGACCTCATGGGCCAGGTAGAGTGGGGAGGAGGTGGCCTTGGGAGAGTAGGCTTTCCCAGAGAAGACCACCTGGGAGTAGACGAAGTAGATGCCACTGGTGGGGACCAGGAGAGAATTGTTGCTCAAGGAGAAACCATCCTGGAGGAAGGCACGGTCCGTGTTTGCTCTCCAGAGCAGTGAGTTCTGCTTGCTGGGGTCTCCTAGGAAGAGCCATAGGGGATGGGGGTGGGAGATCAGGGGTCTGGATCAGAGGTCTCAATCCCTGAGGAAGTGGGCACTGAACAACTGAGTTCCTGGGGGATGGCAGGGGGAGGCATAGGAGTGGGCTCCCTCTGTTTTTTTTAGCGTGGGGGAAGTTGGGGGAGAGGGGTGGATGCTTGGGTTCCTGAGGCAGGGGTAGGAGGAGAGCTGGTGGGGACATGTCTGGGAGGTCAGGTGGATGTTTACCAATGAGGTGAGCAGCAGGTTTGAGGGTGCTGTGGGCAAGATGCATCTTGGGGTGCTGACGGGCAGTCTGGGCAGCTGAAGGTGTGAGGCCAACACCAGGGAGCCCCTAGGGGAGAACAGAGTTGAGGGGGGCTCTAGGGCTCAAGGTTTGGCTGAGCCACCCCAGCAGCCCCCATTCTCCTGCTGCCTCACCTGGGCCCCAGGCAGCAGAACCAGCAGCAGCCCCAGAAGGAGGAGGTGTAGGGTGGTGCCACACACCCTTGGGAGGAAGAGACGTTCAGGTGGTGTCATGGGGAGAACCTGCAGAGAAAGAGAGAGAGAGAGAGAGACAGTGAGCGGGGCGGGGCACGCGGCGGAAGACAGACCTCCCGCCCTGGGAGAGAGCACCCCCCGACCCCCGAGAGAGAGATCGACAGAGAAGGGGACAAGATGCAGTCAGAGAAACCCCAAGGTGAGCAGAGGGAGACAGAGAGAGACAGGAAGGGAACAGAGAGGAATCATGGCAGAAACAGAGAATGTGTGACAGAGACAATGAGACTGACAGATGGAGAGTCAGAGACAGAGAAGGAAACCAAAACCAAACCCACCAAGGCCCAGGCCCAGGCAGGCCGGGGATCCAGGCAGCAGGTGCAGGAGGGACCGAGGCCCAGGCAGAGGGCAGGACACTGCTGGGCGGTAGTCCAAAGCACGAAGCACGGGCAGCCCAAGGAGATGGGGCAGGAGAGCCTCACCTGCTGTGCGGAGCCCCTGGGCCCGGACGCTCAGGTCCCTTTATAGAGGAAGCGGCAGTGGCAGCGTGGCAGGCAGCGGGCGGGTTCTAGGTCGGGGCTGGGGCCCGGGGAAGCCCCCAGGGCTTAGAAGATACTGCTGTTTCAGTCAAAGGCAGGAAAGGCTGAGGCCTAGGAGAGAACCACAGGCTGGGGGTTCAGGCGACTGAGTTCTGGGAAAGGGAGTCGGGTCAGGGGAATCGTGGGCTGGGAGGGCCAGGGAGTGGGGTCAGGCCTAGAGTTCCAAAGAAGGGACAGTCAATTCAGAGAGGAGGTGGTTGAGCAGCTGGGGTGTGAGCTGGAGGCCCGGTTCCCTGAAGAGCAATCATATATAACATCTCTGCACCCTTGGCTGAGTACAGGCTTCTCTCTTTGCCCATTTCCTTCTCTTGTACCCCTGTCCTTGTCCCAAACAACTCAAATCATACTTGTCCCAGTATACGGACTTTCCAGCCCATCTGGCAGGTTTCACATCAAGAAGGTCCATTATATATCCCCTTCATCGGGGACATTCTGGTGTTTGCCTCTTGTCCAGGTGAAAATATTAATGGATCCCCCTTCCACTCTTGAAAGTGTCCTAGTTTGGAAGATAAATTTTTTGGTCCCCTTACTCAGAGATGATGCTGGACAGTCAAGTATGATGAGGTCTCATCTCACTCCTGAAGGATGCCCTCCATCTCTTCCTGACTTCAGGTGGCTTCCACAGAACAGATTTATATAACCCCAAATAAACACACATTCCAGGATCAATGTGGCAGACACCTTCCAAAGTTTTCTACAAAGGAAGTTTCAGAATTCCACATGGGTGAGGCTTAAGGGTGGTGACTTAGGGTGGGGTGGGGACAGCTAAGGGACTTGTTCTGAAGCTGCATTTGCAGAGCCAATACATTATTTTAAAATTGTTCCAGGCCTGGTGCAGTGGCTCACACCTGTAATCCTGGCACTTTGGGAGTCTGAGGTGGGCGGATTACTTGAGGTCAGGAGTTTGAGACCAGCTGGCCAACATGGTGAAACCCCATCTCTATAATAAATACAAAAATTAGCCAGGCGTGCTGGTGCGCATCTGCAGTCCCAGCTACTCGGGAGGCTGAGGCTGGAGAATTATTTGAACCTGGGAGGCGGAGGCTGCAGTGAGTCAAGATCGCACCACTGTATTCCAGCCTGGGGGACAGAGCAAGACTCTGTCTCAAAAAAAAAAAAAAAAAGTTTCCAAAATTTTTTTCCTTTTTATTGATATGTAACTTAGGTATGAGGTGGACACCTCTTAAGTGTACAGCTGATGAATTTTTCCATCTGTATGTAGCCACCACCCAGCTCCACGTATTTTCAGGTCCCCAGCAGGTTCCCTCATGCCCCCTCCCTGCTGATACCCTCCAAAGATAACCAACCACTCTCTCACTTTTATCACCATAGATTATTTCCTCCTGGTTTGGGGCATCATATAAATGAAATCACACAGAATGTACTCATTTCTGTTTGACTTCTTTCAGTCAGCATTATGTTTGTGAGATTCATATACGTGGTTGTATGTATCAGTAATGTTTTTAAAAAAAATTATGATGTAATATTCTATTGTATCAATATATTCTAATATATTCTGTTGATGGGGATTTGGTTTGTTTCTAGTTTTTGTCTAACACAAAAAATGTCTAACACGAACATTCTCATACATGAGCCCATTTTCACTTAGCTTGCAAGTTACAAGGTTTAAAAAAAGCAGTTTCTAAAGATGACTTTATTCACTTTTCCTAAGTTTGAGATAATACCAACTTGTCACCTCAAATATTATTACTGCTACTGATGTGATTTTACTTGGAGAGTGTTAGAGGGGTTGGAGCTGGGGCTGGTGGTGACCCGGGGTAAAGCCCACTGTTGCATGGGGCAGACCACTTCTCTCCCCAGGCACAAGGTCCCTGAGGGGTCTTGGTGTAACATGGAGGGACATGTAAGTAACATTCTGGGTGTGTATGAGCTATTTCTCCTGTTCTTCTCTACTTGAGGACCTGCCCCTTTGCCTTTTATGCTTTACTAGTCTTAGCTATTATTTCTGTAGGGGCAGAAAGGGGTGATCCCTTCCTGACCCATCATAAGGGTTATGGCCAATACTCCTATAATAAAAGACAGATTAACAAGAGAAAAGCATAATACATTTATTTAATCAAAGTTTTAGGTGACATGGGAGCCTTCAGAAATGAAGACCCAAGGACCCAGGGGAAAACTATTTTTATGCTTAGATTTGATGAAGAATGAACAGCTGTGCAGAAATGTAATTGAACAAAAGGAGTATCATCTAATGGTCACAGACTGGGACTGGGGGGATCCCAGCAAGGCCTGGCCATATTCTTCTTGGTCTCTCTGTACAGCATTCCTTCCTCCCAGGTATAGGGCAGAACCTCTTCTGGAATGAGGGTCTTATAACCTACTATCAGATGAGATAGGTCAGAAAATTTCTTTTCCTTTTTTTTTTTTTTTGAGACAGTTTCTCACTGTCGCACAGGCTGGAGTGCAGTGGCACGATCTTGGCTCACTGCAACCTCTGCCTCCCAGGTTCAAGCTATTCTCCTGCCTCAGCCTCCCGAGTAGCTGGGATTACAGGCACACGCCACCAAGCCCGCCAAATTTTTTTTTGTATTTTTAGTAGAGACGGGGTCTCACCATGTTGGCCAGGTTGGTCTTGAATTCCTGACCACAGGTGACCCACCAGCCTTGGCCTCCCAAAGTGCTGGGATTATGGGCGTGAGCCACTGCGCCCAACCTTCTTCTCATTCTTTTAACCTTATTATCTCTTGTGTCAGTGTGGGTTTCCCTTTTAGCCCCTGCTCCTTTCTTTTTCTCTGTGTTGCCCTTTCTCTCAGGGTCCTTTTTGCTTCCTGTTGTCTCTTTCTGCTTCTCTAATGGTATGAGCTGATGGACTGGGACCCCAGCTGAGCTATATTAAAATATAAAATGTTATTACAAGGCCAGGAGCAGTGGCACATGCCTGTCATCCCAGCACTTTGGGAGGCTGAGGCGAGCAGATCACAAGGTCAGGAGATAGAGACAATCCTGGCTAATACGGTGAAACTCCATCACTGCTAAAAATACAAAAAATTAGCCGAGCATGGTGGCACGCGCCTGTAATCCTAGCTACTAGGGAAGCTGAGGCAGGAGAACTGCTTGAACCCAGGAGGCGGAGGTTGCAGTGAGCCGAGATCGTGCCACTGCCCTCCAGCCTGGGCAACAAAGTGAGACTCCATTTCAAACAAACAAACCAAAAAACAAAACAAAACAAAACAAGCAAACAAAAAAAGGTATTGCAATTAACAGTGAGACACAGAGAGAAATTTAAATTAAAGAGGAAGAATGGGACATTGAAAGACAAAAAAGGGAAGGCAAGAAGGGTGATGGGGAGACATGAGAGACACAGAGGAAGGAAGGGTAAGACTGGGCTGAGGCTCAGTGTCACGTGCATGTGAGATATGCGAAGGATGCTCCTTGAGATGGGCCAATCTTGGTTTCAATCTCAGTTTCGGAGGTTGTATGAATTTGGTTTCTTTCTTGGGCAGGCCAGCAGTTGGTTTGGGACTTTCCCTGGGTGGGAGAGCTGATGACTGGAGTCTTGTGCCCCAGACTCAGGGAAATACAGTCTTTATAGTGGTCTTTGTGGAGAAACTAGTGAAATCTCTGAAGCCTCCAAATGAGACTGAAATGACATTAGCTTCAAACTTGAACTTAGCCTCAAAACCTGAATTGGGATTTAATACCAACATCAACCCTAACCCAAATTTAACCTCAACCCAAATCACAACTCAAACTCAACCCCAACTGTAACCCTAACCTTAAATCTAAACACATCCCAATTAATAACCCCCTAAATAAAACTTCTCCTCTACCCCAACCCAACCCTGTTTCTAG
Organism: Homo sapiens; assembly: GCF_000001405.40. Classification (NCBI taxonomy): domain Eukaryota; kingdom Metazoa; phylum Chordata; class Mammalia; order Primates; family Hominidae; genus Homo; species Homo sapiens. The sequence goes on along the minus strand of NT_167246.2, from coordinate 2,873,413 downwards.
GGCTAATCTTGAAACCAGTTTACCACCACTCCTAACACTAAACTTAAATCTGACTCTAAATGTAAGTCCAATCTGAGCCACAAGCCTAAAGTTGAACTTTATCCTGCTTTATGAATTATTCATCCATTCCTCCATTTAGTGAGTATCTGCGTGCCTAACACATGCTGGGCATTGTCCTAAGGCAGGAGGGACATGGAGGCAAAGGGATCAGAGAAGGTACCAGCACCTGTGGAGCTTGTATTCCAGTGAGGCCAGACGGAAAAGAAAGAAACTGAAGAAGAAATTGGTACTATGAGAAAATAAGACAGGCTGATGTTGTAAGAGTGGCAGGGAGCTACTTTTAAATACAGTAGTCAGCAAAATCCTCTTTGAGTGTTTGGGTGGCACTGGAGCTGAGACCCAAATGACAAAAAATAGTGACCAGGTAAAAGTTTGGGAGCAAAGCATTTCAGGTAAAGGGAGCAGCTACTGCAAAGGCTGGAAGGCGGAACCAAGCTGGGGGTGTTGACGACAAACAGAAGGCCAGTGTGGCTGGAGCAGAGAGAGAGACTGGGAGGCGGGTGGGAGATGAGGTCAGAGAGGAGGGCAGGGGCCAGGTCATGCAGGGCCATGCAAGAAGGGTAAAGCCTCTAGATTTCATCCAGCCACAGGAAGCCTTTAAAGGTCGTCAGAGTGTGTGGTGCGTGCATGCGTGCGTGTGTGTGTGTGTGTGTGTGTGTGTTGCAGGGGAGAGAGGGGGAGGGAGAGAGAGAGAGAGAGAGAAAGAGGGAGGTGAGCAGAGGTGATTGGATTTTTTTTTCTTTTGACATGGTGTCTTGCTCTGTGGCCTAGGCTGGAGTGCAGTGGCACCATCATAGCCCACTGCAACCTCAAAACCATGGGCTCAAGTCATCCTTCCACCTCAGCTTCCCAAGTATCTAGGACTACAGGTGTGTGCCACTGTGCCTGGCTAATTTTAAAAAATATTTTAAAATTTTTGTTGAGACAGGGTCTATGCTGCTCAGGCTGGTCTCGAACTCCTGGTTTCAAGTGATCTGCCCATCTTGGCCTCCCAAAGTTTTTTTTTGTTTGTTTGAGAGGCGGTTTCGCTCGTTGCCCAGGCTGGAGTGCAATGACTGATCTCATCTCACTGCAACCTCTGCCTCCTGGGTTCAAGCGATTCTCCTGCTTCAGCCTCCCAAGTAGCTGGGATTACAGGTGCATGCCACCATTCCCGGCTAATTTTTTGTATTTAGTAGAGATGGGGTTTCACCATGTTAGTCAGGCTGATCTCAAACTCCTGACCTCAGGTGATCCGCCTGCCTCAGCCTCCCAAAGTTTTGGGATTACAGGTGTGAGCCACCATGCTGGGCCAGCCTCCCAAAGTTTTGGGATTACAGGCATGAGTCACCACACTGGCCCTGGATTTTTTTTCTTTCTTTTTTTTGGAGACGGAGTCTCACTCTGTTGCCCAGGCTGGAGTGCAATGGCGTAATCTCAGCTCACTGCAACCTCTGCTGCCCGGGTTCAAACGATTCTCCTGTCTTAGCCTCCTGAGTAGCTGGGATTATAGGTGCATGCCACCATGCCTGGCTAATTTTTGTACTTTTAGTAGAGAAAGTACACCATCTTGGCCAGGCTGGTCTCGAACTCCTGACCTCAGGTGATCCACTTGCGTCGGCCTCCCAAAGTGCTGGGATTACAGGCGTGAGACACCGCACCCAGCCTTTTTTTTTTTTTTTTTTCTTTTAAGACAGAATCGCTCTGTCACCCAGGCTGGAGTGCAGTGGCACAATCTCGGCTCACTGCAACCTCTGCCTCCCAGGTTTAAGCAATCCACCTATGTCAGTCTCCCAAGTAGCTGGGATTATAGGTGCATGTCACCATGCCTGGCTAATTTTTGTACTTTTAGTATAGAAAGTACACCATGTTGGCCAGGCTGGTCTTGAACTCCTGACTTCAAGTGATCCGCCTGCCTCAGCCTCCCGAAGTGCTGGAATTACAGACATGTGCCACTGCACCCGGCCTGGTTTTTTTTTTCTAAGAGATGGAGTCTCACTTTTCTGCCCAGGTTGGAGTGCAATGGCACCATCATAGCTCACTGCAGCCTTCAACTCTTGGCCTCAGGCAATCCTTGCACCTTAGCCTCGCAAAGTGTTGGGATTACAGGCATGAGCCACTGAGTCTTGCCTGGACTTTTTTTTTTTTTTGAGATGGCGTCTCGCTCTGTTGCCCAGGTTGGAGTGCTACGGCATGATCTTGGCTCACTGCAACTTCCACCTCCCAGGTTCAAGTGATTCTCTTGCCTCGGCCCCCCGAGTAGCTGGGATTACAGGCATGCGCCACCGTGCCTGGCTAATTTTGGTATTTTTAGTAGAGATAGGGTTTCATCATGTTGGGCAGGCTGGTCTTGAACTCCTGACCTCGTGATCCACCCACCTCGGCCTCCCAAAGTGCTGGGATTATAGGCATAGCCAACGCGCCCAGCCTGGACTTGTTTTTAAAAGATCACTGTGGCTCCTGTGTTTAGGCTGGCTGGTAGGAGACAGGTGGCAGTGGCATTGATGGTGAAGAGAAAATAGTGGCAGCCATGGAGATGGAGAGAAGTAGACAAGTTTGGGATATATTATACATTCCAGGGGTAGAAACAACAGGACTAGATGATGGATTGATGGGTGGGAGATGTAGATACTGGGAGAGAAGCAGGATTCTGATGGATGGAAAAACTAAAAAATTCTATTTTGGGTGTGGTAAGTCTAAGTCTATTAGACATGCAAGTAGAGATGCCACTGGGCAGATACACATCTGGATTTCAGGGGCAAGGTCCAAGCTAGAGAAAGAAACCTGGGCATGGTCAGCATGAGGATGGTGTTTAAAGCCATGGAACTTATCTTGTGCATCCCTATAAGACCCCTTTGAGGCACTTGTTTCCCCTCACAATGGATGCAGTGCATCTTCCATTCTGAATTCCAGAGGCAACAACCTCCTGCTCCTAGAAGCTAAACTCTCCAGACTTAGTCTTCTGAATTCCCACTGGGATTTAACCTCCCTGGATTCAATTCCCTACCCCACAAGGACCCTTCTACCAATCCATTTCACAATATTTGGTGGAACTCTTCACATTTTCAAATCCTGTCTTCTATGTTTGAAAGCATTTTCCTCTGGGCATTTTGAAACCTGGCTTTCCCCTAATGATGCTACTCCTCTCTGTGGTGAAGGTTGCTCTTTCTTCGACCTCCATCACTAGGGGAATGAAGGCAGAAGAGAGGGGTCGTTATTTTCTCTCCCCCAGACCACTGATAAACTCCTCCTCATCTCCCAAAGCACGTGCCTTTTGCATTTGCCATGCTCTTCCTGTCTTCACAGCACAATCTTATCCATCAAAATATTTATTATGCTCTTAACAACTTGTATAACTAGCTCAGTCTTTCTCCACATCTTATCCCTACCATCATCCTTGTTTGTTTGTTTTTTGAGACAAGGTATTGCTCTGTCACCCAGGCTGGAGTGCAGTGGCGTGATCTTGGCTCACTGCAGCCTCGACCTCCTGGGCTCAAGTGATCCTCCCACGTCAGCCTCCTGAGTAGCTAGGACTACAGGCGCATACCACCGTGCCCGGCTAAGTTTTGTATTTTTTTTTTTTTTCCAGAGATAGGGTTTTGCTATGTTGCCTAGGCTGGTCTTGAACTCCTGAGCTCAAGCAATCCACCCGCCTCAGCCTCCCAAAGTGCTGGGATTACAGGCATGACCCACCGCACCCGGCCTCCTACCACCATCTTTAGTGACTTTAAAAGCCACAAAGATCGGCTGGGCGCAGTGGCTCACACTTGTAATCCCAGCACTTTGGGAGGCTGAGGCGGGTGGATCACGAGGTCAGGAGATCGAGACCATCCTGGCTAACAAGGTGAAACCCCGTCTCTACTAAAAATACAAAAACAAAATTAGCTGGGCGTGGTGGTGGGTGCCTGTAGCCCCAGCTACTCGGAAGGCTGAGGCGAGAGAATGGCATTAACCCGGGAGGCGGATCTTGCAGTGAGCCCAGATCACACCACTGCACTCCAGCCTGGGTGACAGAGCGAGACTTCGTCTCAGAGGAAAAAAATAAAAATAAAAAAAGAAGCCACACAGATCAGATGAGTCTTACAGTCTGGCCTCTCAATTCTCCAAGTTTCTCAAGTCTACTGGTTTTACAGCCTCTTCTTCCCTCCTCCATTTTAGCCACCCAGGAGTAAGGTTGTACCTCAAACCCCAGCATCACTTGGAAGAATTATGCCTTCAAGATCTTGATCTCTGAATTACCCTTCTCATCACAACCACTCACTTTTCACATCTCCCACTCTCTGCCTCCCCTTGAATCAGTTCTTTATTCTTACCAAGACTTCCGGCTGCTTCTGCTTTCCTGGTTTTGCTTGTTGATTTAACATGTACTGCATGGTCAACAATTTCAACTCCACTTTGTCTGCATTTTAGAATCTCTTACCGCCGGGCACCGTAGCTCACACCTGTAATCCCAGCACTTTGGGAGGCCAAGGTGGGCGGATCACCTGAGGTCAGGAGTTCGAGACCAGCCCGGCCAATGTGGTGAAGCCCCATCTCTACTAAAAATACAAAAATTAGCTGGGCGTGATGGTGGGCAACTGTAATCCCAGCTACTCTGGAGGCTGAGGGAGGAGAATCGCTTGAACCCGGGAGGCAGAGGTTGCAGGGAACCAAGATTGAGCCATTGCACTCCAGCCTGGGCAACAAGAGTGAAACTCTGTCTCAAAAATTGACTTGGGTAAACTAAGTGGTCTCATTCTTGGGGCTTTGTCTTAGGCTGCCAAGCGCTGCAGTAGACAGCTGAGTCACCATAAGAGGCCTATAACTAATCCTGGCCAGCTAATCTCAGAGAGTCATCAGTGTTCTTGGACACAACTTTTACTCATTCTTTGTTGACTCCCCATTATACTACTGTGCGTGATGTTCTAAATCTCCGTGCCTCTGATGTTCTTCACTCTCATCTATTAATATTTCATTGAGCTTAAGGCCATCAAGTGTGGATCTCACTTCCCTCTTTTTCCTTAATTTTGTTATATTTAATCTTTCCTTACATACTGACTCACAGTACTTTTTCTTGTTTCCAAGACTGATCCTTTTATCTGTACTCTATCCCACTTCCTCTATCTTTACTATATTCTCTCCCCACTTCTTGCTTATGTTTTCACTATCTCTCCCTTTCTTGTTTGTTTTTGGGATAGGCTTGCTCTGTTGCCCAGGCTGGAGTGCAGTGGCGCGATCTCGGCTCACTGCAACCTCTACCTCTCGGGTTCAAGTGATTCTCCTGCCTCAGCCTCCTGAGTAGCTGGGGTTACAGGCGTGTGCCACCACGCCCAGCTAATTTTTGTATTTTTAGTAAAGACAGCATTTCACTATGTTGGCTAGGTTGGTTTTGAACTCCTGATATCTATAGTCTGCCCACCTCAGCCTCCCAAAGCGCTGGGATTACAAGGGTGAGCCACCGCACCTGGGCTTTTTTTTTTTTTTTTTTTGAGACTGAGTCTCGCTCTGTCACCCAGGCTGGAGTGCAGTGGTGTGATCTCGGCTCACTGCACCCTCTGCCTCCTGAGTTCAAGCGATTCTCCCACCTCAGTGAATAGCTGGGACCACAGGCATGTGCCACCACGCCTGGCTAATTTTTGTATCTTTCGTAGAGATGCGGTTTTGCCATGTTGGCCATACTAGTCTTGAACCCCTGGCCTCAAGTGATCTGCCCACCTTGGCCTCCCACAGTGCTGGGATTACAGGTGTGAGCCACTGCACCTGGCCTATCTTTGTCTCTTTAAGCATCTTCATTTTACCTTCAATTTTATTTCTTGAAAATAAACAACAAAAAAGATCCTTCCTTGGAATATTTCTCCCTCAAATGTCCAGTCTATCTCACCTTCCGTTTTCGTGTGATGTCTCAAAAGACTAGCCCCCTTAACGAACCACTTTTTCAGGAACTGGTAAAATTTCCCTCAACTGTAAAATCTGTGGGTAGAACTAAGAGATGATTCTCAGTTATTCTGTGTTCACCATTCTGACCTCATGCCCACCACCTCCTTTTCCTCACCTCCCACTCATTCCTCAACCTATGTAAAGTGATTTCTGCCCCTCTATTAAATGGAAACGGTTTTCTCAAAATTTGTAATCGTCTAGTTCCTGAACCCAACAATCTTTTCAACCCTCATTTACTAGACCTCTTTGAAGCCTCAAACATGGCTGCCCTGTCTCTGCTTGGCATCCCCCGCCCCCCGTGCCCTGCTTCTCTGACTGCTCCCCAACCTCTCCTTTATTGGTTCTCTTCCTTTGATCATGCTCAGGGCTCTTCTGGTCACTCCGCCCCCTCCCTTGAAGATCCTGTCCACTCAAAGGCTCAACCTCTACTGGGAAGGGAATGATGCCCAAATCTGTTCCTCCAGACCCAACTTCTCTTGAGCTCCAGACCTGCTTTCTGGAAATCTCCACCTGAGAGTCATGCTGGTACCTCAAACCTTCATTGAGCACTTTATTACCCTAAGCAGGCATACCTATACATTATAACTATAATGTATAGTTATTATTTGTATACTGTCTCATTAGACTGCAAGTTCTATGAAGGCAGTGACTTTATTATTTATACCTATTGTCAAGCAGTGCCCTGCTCCTAATAGGTGCTTAATAATTTTTTTTTTTTTTGGATACAGAGTCTTGCTCTGTCACCCAGACTGGAGAGCAGAGGCATGATCTCAGCTCACTGCAACCTCTGCCTCCCGGGTTCAAGTGATTCTTGTGCCTCAGATACCTGAGTAGCTGGGATTACAGGTGCCCAAGACCACACCCAGCTAGTTTTTATATTTTTAGTAGAGACGGGGTTTCACCATGTTGGCCAGGCTGGTCTCGAACTCCTGGCCTCAAGTGATCCTCCCAAAGTGCTCCCACCTTGGCCTCCCAAAGTGCTGTGATTACAGGAGTGAGGTGCCTGGCCACCACCACCCACCTTTTGGACAGACGTTGAGAGGATTTGTGGTGTTAGGAAAAGGGCTGGTTAACACACAGTAGGTATTAATTCACAAGATGATGGCCGTTTTCTTACTCCTTGTCTGTACTGCAGCACTCACCTGTTCTCCCTCTTTTTCATCGTCACCTGGACCACTGCCCACAGGATGCAGTCCAATCTCTGACCTTGACTTTCTGTGGTCCTTTCTTCATCACATGTTCCCTCACACCTGTGCTTCTTCTCCCTCAGGACGCTCCTTTCCCAGAACATACTGCATTTTCTGACTTGTCAGGCTCGCTCAAGACGTGTTATTCGCCTATGGAACCTTTCCATCCACCTCCACCTAGTGAACCCATTCATTAGAGCAAGTTCAAATGCTGTCTCCTCAGAGGCTCCCTGGATGCTTTCAAATGGACTTAATCTCCCCTCTTTCTGTAATCATCTTAAAGTTTACTCATCATGCCTTGAATCAGTTAACTAGGTATGGGTCTGCCTCCCCACTAGATTGTAAGCTTGAAGCAGGGTTTAAATTTATCTTTGGGCTACATAATGCTCAGTTGACCTACACTGAACAGAGTCCCTCCCAGATCCTTTTCCTAACTTAATCCAAACCTGCCCCAACCTGAGTCCTCAAACTGACCCTCTTCAATCTCATTATTCTTTTCCAGGCCTGTTCCTCCAATTGAATCCCAATGCATCCTCCACTGAGACTCAACTCCTGGTGCCAGCTCTAGAGAGCAGAGATACACTTCCACCTACCCACTGTTTCATGGCAGGCACTGAGTCACCCCTTGGGAATCCCTGGCCCCTGTCCCTGCCCCCACCATGCTGGACAGGATGCCTGCTGCCTGCCCCAAGGGGTCAGAGGAAGCCAGGGCCTCTAGGGCTCAGTATTTTTATCAGCCTAGGAAACAAGAGACACAGAAGCGGAAACCATGTGGTCAGAGAAAGTGAACAGCCCTTATCTCAGGGGAACCCCCACCAGGGCTGGGGGCCAGACACCAGGAAGGGACGTTGAAAAGACTGTGGTCCGGTGGGCCCAGGTTTCAGGGCTTATTTTGCTTTGGTTTTATGTAACTCTTGCAGAAGGGGAAATGATGTGCTTAAAAACCAGTGAGAAATCTCCTGGGTGGAGGAGCAAATTTGGTCACCAGAGTTTTCTGTAATTTACTTCTCAACCTCCAGCTTAGGGATCCTAACCCCAACTCCCCCCAAGGCCAAACCTGGACTCTTTGCATGCCACTTCCGAAAAGCTCCAGCCTGTGAGAGGAACCGGACGCCAGGGTCACACACAGCTTGAAGTCTCTTCTCTGAATCACAGCAGCTTCCTCTCACAGGATCTTTCTCACCAGCCCTTCCCCCTCCTGCACCCTGAACATCTGCCTGGTCCTTCAGAGGCCTTGGTCTCTTCCGAACTTCAGGCTGTCTTATTCAAGGATCTCATGCCCACCCATGTTCCCGTGTTCCCAGAGGCGTGCCCTCCCTGTCTTCTACTGCCTTCCACTTCCACTCCTGGGATTCTCCTGTAGAGAACTGGGCTCAAAACCTGAAAGATAAGTTTCTGATTGATAAGATGCTCTGGTGTAACTATGCAGACAGTGCACTCACCAGCACATGTCTGTACTCTCCTTGCAGCCCTGTCCTTTCTTTTTGCCAAGTTCCCAGTTGTGTCCTGGGCGATGGTAGTGGGGTCTACCTATCTTAGTTTCCAGGGAGCCCCCCTCTCTCCTCCGTGGGAATCCCAGACTCTCCCTCCACCTCTCAGGACTTCAACTACTGGTTCTTGGAAAAGGAAATGTTTATAGGGAAGGCCATGCCTGGGCTGCCCAGAGATGAACTCAGGTTTAGGATGGGGCAGCAGCTGAATGGCGGAGATGAGGATTGGGGCCCTGGAGGAAGAGAGATACAACTGACAAGCTAGAGGGCAGAGATGGATGGAGCCAGCAGCCTGGCTGGCTTTGGGTGTGGAGCTCCAGTTGCCCAAGAACAGACAACCCATGTTACATAATTTTGCTCTTTCCACCTCCTTCCCCTGCTCCTAATTTTAGCAACTGAAATTCCACTCCCCCACAGGGCTCTTCCTCCAGCCATTCTGCTTGTATTCCCCATCCTCCCCCAGCCTCCTCATGGCCCCCCAGCGCCGGCTACCCCCAACTCGCTCATTCAGTGACTCAGCAAAGGGAAAGCCCTGTGTTGGGGGAAGGGGGTGTTAAGTGGGGAGGAGGATGTGGTTCAGCTTGGGGAGCCAGGGAGGGGAGGGAAACTGGTTTTGTTCCCCTTTTTGCCTCTGTTCGCATCTATTTCTCCAGCCACAGATTGCAGGGTGGACAAGACCCCAGTGTAGGGAGTGGAGTGAGACTGGATGGCAAACTGGGCCTTCTTAGGGCTGAACTGAGGGGGCATGCAGAGGCTTCTTGCCTCCAGCTCAGAGCCCGTGTTAGCGTGTGCGTGTGTGTTGCAGGTGTGTGGGAGCTGTGGGTTTCAGCAGGCGGGGCGGGAAAGGAGATGTCATGGGTGATGAAAACCACAGCAATGGAAAAAGACAGAGGAGACACTGGGAGTGAGATGTGGAACCAGGTCTTATTAGGAAACGGCAGAGTCAAGGAGCAGTGGTGGCGGCCCGCACCCCCCACCCCCACTTGTTACAACTTTCGCTCCCACCCATATCCTCTGCTGAGCAGCACCTGGCTCTTCCTTGTGGTCCCCATCCTTTCCCTTACCCTTCCTTCTGCCTCATCCTGAGGCTGCAGCCCCGAAGTTTCTTGCTTCTTCCCTAGGGTCACTTGAGGGCCTCTGCATGGCGATTCAGGGCCTGAGAAAGGGCTGTCACTGCTCCCATCACACGGCCCAGCTCCCAGGTCTCAATCTGGCTTCGGAATCGCTGCAGGAAGCGGTCAGGGTGCCAGCGGACCTGCTGGACCCTCAAGTACCTCCTCAGAGCCCCCTGTTCCTCCAAAGGGGGGCCCCTGGCCACCAGGGCTGCAGCCATGGCCTCTGGGTCCCCTCCCCCAGGGCAGGGCCAGGGCACATCACCAAATCGCCAGAGGCTGCCCCTCCCCGCTCCTCTGGGGTGCTCTTCCCTGGGCCCGGCCCTGGTTGGCTTGGGTTCTCGGTCCCCTAGAGCCTCCTGCGCCCTCCTGGCTCGGCTCTCACGCAGCTCTTCCTCCTTGGCCCGGGCTCGCTCCCTGAAGAGCCGCTGCTCCTCCTCCTGCTGTCGCCAGCTCTGGCTGGAGCCCTCAGCACGTGGGGGTCGACAGGATCCCTCTGCTTCTCGCTGCTGCTGCTGGCACTTCTGGGCATGTTCCCGGGCCAGGCGATCTGACCAGGCTGAGAAGGACTCAGGTTCCTGGGTTTCATGGGAGGCATCACCTGTTTGGGAGGGTGGGATGGGGGTAGTTGGAGAGAGGCTGTGAGAAGGTGATGGGCCCCAAGAAGCAGGGAAGCACAGAGGAGGGGGCAGAGGAGCCTAGTGTGACGCATTCATGCAGATGGAAAGCAGCCAGTGGGGAAGGGCAGCTGTGGATAGCAGTGGACTTCTCACCTTCAAACCTCCCCATGACTTCCTGCCACTCGTCCTCCAGCTCACCCTGGAGCTTCTGTCTCCATTCCCGCTCCTTGGAGGCATCATCTTCTTCCTCCTCTTCAGCAGAATCCCAGGGGGGTCCCCAGCCCAAAATTTGGCCAGGGGTCTCCCCATCCTTATTCTTTATTCCCATGGCGGAGGGACAGCGGCTTAGCAGCGGGAGGAAGAAATCGGTGTAGGCTGTTGGTGGGAGAGCAGGGAGCAGAAGTTAGCTGGGACTCCCACTCCTCGGCAGAGCTGCCATCTTGAATCCTGCTGGTCACTCACTCCCTTGGTCTTAAAGCAATGGAAGGGTGGCTCACATGGATGCCTCCTGGGTATTAGGAAATAACCATCACTGATAAATACAGACTGATAGTTTACCACATGCATGGTAAGTGTGGTAGTTTAAAATATTCTCGGCCAGGCGCGGTGGCTCACGCCTGTAATCCCAGCACTTTGGGAGTCCGAGGCGGGCGGATCACGAGGTCAGGAGATCACGACCATCCTGGCTAACATGGTGAAATCCCATCTCTACTAAAAAATACAAAAAATTAGCCAGGCCTGGTGGCGGGCGCCTGCAGTCCCAGCTACTCGGCAGGCTGAGGCAGGAGAATGATGTGAACCCGGGAGGTGGAGCTTGTAGTAAGCCGAGATCGTGCCACTGCACTCCAGCCTAGGTGACAGAGCAAGACTCCGTCTCAAAAAAAAAAAAAAAAAATTCTTACTTGTGTCTCCACAAACTATTTCAGCATCCTAGAAGTTCTACCATGCCAACTGACATTTTCTGACCTGCCTCCAGCCACCAAGGCAGTGCCCAAATTCTTTGACTATGTATTCCACTTTTCACTTAAAAATATTGTCACTATATAAATCCCTTATTTTCTCACCTGAAACCATATATCAGACTGGGAAAATATCTGAATGCTCTACTCTGGGCCATTAATAAATACACAAATATGTAATACTTATCTTTTATTATCACTTATCAATAAACTGAGTAAAATAAATGTTTTCAGGGGAATTTCTCTCAGCCAGCCTTACCAGGGGATGATGGGAGAGGGGTGGGGAGGTGAACCGGCAACAACTATGGCCGGCGGCAGAGCAAGCTCTTTCCAAATGACTGCTGACCTAGGGCAGGGGAAAGGGAGTGGAGTGTGACAGAGGGTCTCACCCATGGGCTGAGAGAAAACAGGAGAGGAACCGACGTTCCTGAACTCCCCTTTTCTTCAGTCCCAACCTTGCTGCATCTGGCCCAAGGTTAGCTGAGTGCCATGCTACTTCCTTCACTGCCAACCCAGGCATCCTGGCCAGGCCCACCTGCTGTGGCCACCAACCACCTCTTTCACTTGGGGGATAGAAGAAGGGGAGGGAGGCAGCCTTCCTTCCTGTGGACCTACTTTCTTTCCCCGGGGTAAGAGGAAATGGGCTAGCAGTCCTTAAATCTTTATTTGGTAGTGCTGGAAAGTACTGTTTACCTGGCAGAAAGCTGGAATAGGGGAAGGCAAGGCCAGGAAGGCAAGAAGACAGAATGGCCCAGGTGTGGCTGGCGAAGGCCCACCATCCCTACCCAAATCACATCAGGGTTGGTGGGGGGGGGCACTTCTCCCTAGTGCTGCTGTGACCTGTCACAGACCCTCTCAACTTGTCCCACCCAGAAAGTACCTGGTCCTGTCTCTCATTCGCTTGTTCCCCACCTGAGCTCAGGTGGTGAGCATGGTGAGTGCTCAGGCTTGCATGGGAGGTTTACATTCATAGGTTTTAAGGAGTAGGGCCTCCAACTATAAAAACATAATATTAAACAGCCACTACAACTGAGGCATGTGTTTGAAAAAAGCTGGCTACAAAACTGTAGAGAGGATCAGATGTGGCCAGGCACGGTGGCTCACGCCTGTAATCCCAGCACTTTGGGAGGCTGGGGGGGGGGGACAATGGATCACAAGGTCAGGAGTTCAATACCAGCCTGGCCAAGATGGTGAAAACCCGTCTTTACTAAAACAAACAAACAAAATATATATATAATTATATTTTATATTATATATAAAATTAGCCAGGCGTGGTGGCTGACGCCTGTAATCCCAGCTACTTGGGAGGTTGAGGCAGAGAACTGCTTGAACCTGGGAGGCGGAGGTTGCAGTGAGCCGAGATCGCGCCTCTGCATTCCAGCCTGGGTGACAGGGTGAGACTCTATCTCAAAAAAAAAAAAAAAAAAAAAAAAGAGAGAGAGAGAGAGGATCAGATAATAACTGTCTAAAACAAGAGACCAAATCCTATGGTTGGAAAAAAAGAGGCCGGGCGTGGTGGCTCATGGCCTGTAATCCCAGCACTTTGGGAGGCTGAGGCGGGTGGATCACCTGAGGTCAGGAGTTCGAGACCAGCCTGGCCAACATGGTGAAACCCTGTCTCTACTAAAAATACAAAAATTAGCCAGGCGTGGTAGCATGTGCCTGTAATCCCAGCTACTTGGGAGGCTGAGTCAGGAGAATCACTTGAACCTGGAAGGCAGAGGTTGCAGTGAGCTGAGATCATGCCAGTGCACTCCAGCCTGGGCAACAGAGGGAGACTCCCATCTCAAAAAAAAAAAAAAAAAAAGAAAAAAAATAGACTGGCAAAAAATATGTAAAAATTCTAGCCTATGGGTGGTGGGGCTGTAGGTGGCTTTTCCCCCAATTTTATTTGACATTTTAATGTGAAAGGGATATAATTAAGTTGAAATTTTCTTTTTAAAGAAGGACGAACAAATTTGATAACTATTAACAGTGTACTGTGATCCCTTCCAGTCCCACCTTGGTGTACCTAAAAGCATACATATGACACATTTATTTGGAGATATGTAACCATACTACAAATATTGCTTGGCAACTTGCTTCTTTCATTTAACATCTCATTTATATTTTTCCACAGGAATATATACAGTCTACCTCATACTTTTTGACGACTTTATAATTAGTGTTCCACTGTGTGTACAAAACAAATCTCCTTACCCCAATATCGATAGACTTTGTTTCAAAAAATGTTCAGCCTCATGAGTATCTTACAGTCTTTCTGTGGGGGTAGATTTTCATAAGTGGAATTTCTGAGTCAAAGGACATGCGCAATTTGGTCAAACTGCTCTCAATAAGTTTGTGCCAATATACAAGTGTGCCTATGTCTTCCTTTACCAAAATTGAATATCATCAACCCTTTTAATTTTGCCAGTTGGATAGATTAAAAAATTATTTTATTAACAATGTTTTTTTCTTTTTCATGTCTTTTGGCTATTTGTATTTTTTGTGAATGAATTGCTCATATTCTTTATCCACTTTTTCTTTGGAAATTATATATATTGATATGAGGGTTCTATATACTGTATGTGTTATACATATTGCAAACATTTTCTTCTATCTATCTTTAAAAAAGCTTTTTTTTTCTTTTTGAGACAAGGTCTCACCCTGTTGCCCAGGCTGCAGTGCGGTGGCATGATCTTGCTCACTGCAAACTCTGCCCCACCTGGGCTCAAGCGATCCTCCCACCTCAGCCTCCTGAGTAACTGGGACTACAGGACGACAGCCACGTACCACCACGCCTGGCTAATTTTGTATTTTTTGTACAGACCAGGTCTCACTGTGTTGTTCAGGCTGGTCTTGAACTCCTGGCTCAAGTGATCTGCCTACCTTGGCATCCCAAAGTGTGGGATTACAGGTGTGAGCTATCGCACCCGGCCTAAAATTTTCATGTAGTTAAATCTATATCAATATATTATTTTCTGACTTTTTATTTCACTTCACTCTTAGGAAGGCTCTATTTTAAGATTATAAAACATTCTCTGCATTTTCTTCTACTACTTTAGATGTATACTCATTTTTATTTTTAGAAATTAAAAAACTCGGCCAGGCGCGGTGGCTCATGCCTGTAATCCCAGCACTCTGGGAGCCCAAGGTGGGTGGATCATGAGGTCAGGAGTTCAAGACCAGTCTGGCCAAGATGGTGAAACCCCGTCTCCACTAAAAATACAAAAATTAGCCTGACGTGGTGGCGGATGCCTGTAATCCCAGCTACTTGGGAGGCTGAGGCAGAGAACTGCTTGAACCCGGGAGGCAGAGGTTGCAGTGAGCCAAGATTGCGCGACTGGACTCCAGCCTGGGTGACAGAGTGAGACTCTGTCTCAACAACAACAAAAAAGAAATTAAAAAACTCTCAAAAATACAAAGTATAATACAATACACAACCCCATTCCTACCACAGGGTTTGTTAATGTACTGTCATGTTTGTAGTATAATTTATTTTAAGGAAATAAAATCATCACAGATAAAGGTAGTTTACCGTGATACCGCCTTCCAAGTTTCATTCCTCCCCAGGCCATCTGTCCCATGAATTTGGTGTGTACCTTCCTGTCATATTCAGGTATTTAATCTGCTGGAATTTACTTTTTGATTAGGTGTGAGGTGGGACTCTTGTTTTTCCCTAGATGAGCCAAATGTTCCAATATTATTTATAAAATAGTTCACCTGGTCAGGCACAGTGGCTCATGCCTGTAATCCCAGCACTTTGGGAAGCTGAGGTGGGTGGATCACCTCAGGTCAGGACAGGAGTTTAAGACCAGCCTGGCCAACACGGTGAAACCCCCATCTCTACAAAAATACAAAAATTAGCTGGGCATGATGGCAGGTGCCCAGCTACTCAGGAGGCTGAGGCAGGAGAATTGCTTGAACCCGGGAGGCGGAGGTTGTAGCAAGCTGAGATTGCGCCATTGCACTCCAGCCTGGGTGACACAGCGAGACTCTGTCTCGGAAAAAAAAAAAAAAAAAAGTTCACCTTTCTCCAGTATTAGAAATGCCCCCTTTAGGCCTGGCGCGGTGGCTCACGCCTCTAATCCCAGCATTTTGGGAGGCCGAGGCGGGCGGATCATGAGGTCAGGAGTTCGAGACCAGCCTGGCCAACACAGTGAAACCCTGTCTCTACTAAAAATACAAAAAATTAGCTGGGCGTGGTGGCGGGCGCCTGTAATCCCAGCTACTTGGGAGGCTGAGGCAGGAGAATGGCTTGAACCTGGGAAGCGGAGCTTGCAGTGAGCCGAGATCACACTACTGCACTCCAGCTTGGGCGACAGAATGAGACTCCATCCCCCACTTCGCCAAAAAAAAAAAAAAAAAAAAAAAAAAAGAAATGCCGCCTTTATAGCGATTTACCAGATCAACCGTTCTCAATGCTCTTTAATACGCTGGAGTTTCATACTAAGAAAAATAAACATAAAAACATTTTGGCCAGGCGCTGTGGCTCACGCCTGTAATCCCAACACTTTGGGAGGCTGAGGTGAGCAGATCACAAGGTCAAGAGATCGAGACCATCCTGGCTAACATGGTGAAACCCCGTGTCTACTAAAAATACAAAAAATTAGCCAGGCGTGGTGGCATACGCCTACAGTCCCTACGCCTATAGTCCCAGCTACTTGGGAGGCTGAGGCAGGAGAATCTCTTGAACCTGGGAGGTGGAGGTTGCAGTGAGCCGAGATTGTGCCACTGCACTCCAGCCTGGGCGACAGAATGAGACTCCTTTTCAAACAAAACAAAACAAAACAAAACAGAAAACAAAAACAAAACCAAAAGACATTCTGTGGGATGGGCACGGTGGCTCATGCCTATAATCCCAACATTTTGGGAGGCTGAGGTGGGTGGATCACTTGAGGTCAGGAGTTTGAGACCAGCCTGGCCAACATGTTGAAACCCCATCTCTACTAAAAACACAAAAATTAGGTCGGGCATGGTGGCTCATGCCTGTAATCCCAGCACTTTGGGAGGCCGAGGCAGGTGGATCATCTAAGGTCAGGAGTTCGAGAGCAGTCTGGCCAACATGGTGAAACCCCATCTCTATTAAAAATACAAAAGTTAGTCGGGCATGGTGGCAGGCTCCTGTAGTCCCGGCTACTCAGGAGGCTGAGGAAGGAGAATCACTTGAACCCAGGAGGCGGAGGTGGCAGTGAGTCAAGATACTGCCACTGCACTCCAGCCTGGGGAACAGAGGGAGACTCCGTCTCAAAAATAAATAAACAAATAAAAATTTAAAAATTAATAAATAAAAATAAAAAAATTAGCTGGGCATGGTGGTGTGTGCCTGTAATCTCAGCTACTTGGGAGGCTGAAGCAGGAGAATCGCTTGAACCCAGGAAGCAGAAGTTATAGTGAGCCGAGATCATGCCACTGCACTCCAGCCTGGGCGACAAAGCAAGACTCCGTCTCAAAAGGAAAAGAAAAAGGAAGCTGGAAGCTGAATGAGATGGGCCTTTCAACCAAGGAGTTAGAAGGCCATCTGGTGGCAGGGCTGGCAGAGGACCAGGAGTAAATAAGGCCAGAGAGGACACCAGGGTCTGGGAGTGAAGGCACTGAGCTTGGGTCCCCCTTTGGAAGACAATGACCTGAGAGCTGTGAGATTTCAGACAAGTTCCCGAACCTTTTGGGCCCTGCTTTCCTCATCTGTAAATGGGATAATATCAGTCTCACCAGCTTCTTAAAATTCAATACAATGGAGTTGGGTGTGGTGGCTCACGCCTCTAGTCCCGGCACTTTGGGAAGCCGAGGTGGGCAGACTGTTTGAACTCAGGAGATGCAGAACAGCCTGGATAACATAGCAAAACAGTCTCTACCAAAAATACAAACAATTAGCTGGGCATGGTGGTGTGTGCTTGTAGTCCCAGCTACTAGGGAGGCTGAGGTGGGAGGACTGCTTGAGCCCACGAGGTAGAGGCTGCAGTGAGCCATGATTGCACCACTGCACTCCAGGCTGGGAGACAGAATGAGACCCTGTCTCAAAACAAACAAGCAAACAAACAATAAAGGAAATCCCTACCACACTATCAGGGGCATTTTGGCTGAGCGCGGTGGCTCACGCCTGTAATCCCAGCACTTTGGGAGGCTAGGCTGGCAGGTCACCTGAGGTCGGGAGTTTGAGACCAGCCTGACCAACACGGAGAAACCGTCTCTACCAAAAATACAAAATTAGCCGGGCGTGATGGTGCATGCCTGTAATCCCAGCTACTTGGGAGGCTGAGGCAGGAGAATCTCTTGAACCCAGGAGGCAGAGGTTGAGGTGGGCTGAAATCGCGCCATTGCACTCTAGCCTGGGCAACAACAGGGAAACTCCATCTCAAAAAAACAAAACAAAACAAAAAACAAAACTCCCATTTTTGCGAGGCAAATTGGGCTCACAGAGGTAAGCTGCATGTCCCTGTTGATGGCAGAGCTGGGGTCTGGATGCAGGTCTGCTTCGGGGTAATCCGCTCTTTTGCCTTCCAGGGTCCTGCCTCTTACAATATGAGCTGTCAAGTTAGATGCCTGCACTCAGTAAACCTACTCTGTTTTAAGTAAAAACAACAAGAAACAAATCTGAATATGCTAGCCTATCTCAGGTACGTTAAAGGAAATTTTTAAATAGGGGGTTTTTTGACCATTTGGGGGAGTTTTGGGGGAGGGGCCTTCTGTCTATACTTGAGCTGGGGGATGTTAGGGTTGTTCATCTGGATCTAGAGGTTTTCCTGTAATGTTCTTACTCCAGAAGGAAATCTCTAGATGGGGAAAGAAGGTTTCAGCTTTTATTCTAGTAAGCAGGGCTCTACCTATAAAGAGCTGCTTCCACCACTCTTTTTTTTTTTTTTGAGACGGAGTCTTGCTGTGTTGCCCAGGTTGGAATGCAGTAGTGCAATCTCGGCTCACCACAACCTCTGTCTTCCGGGTTCAAGTGATTCTCCTGCCTCAGCCTCCCAAGTAGCTGAGACTACAGGTGTGTGCCACCATGCCTGGCTAATTTTTGTATTTTTAGTACAGATGGGGGTTTCACTATGTTGGTCAGGCTGGTCTCGAACTCCTGACCTCGTGATCTGACTGCCTTGGCCTCCCAAAGTGCTGGGATTACAGGCATGACCCACCGCACCTGGCCTCCACCACTATTATAATATCACCAGGTTCCCCATTTGAATCCTTCAGTGCCAAAGGTTTTGCAGAATTCAAATGTTTTTGGGACTTGATAGGGCTGACCTAAAAGTACACTCACTCTATATTAGGTAGCCCAGGAGGGCCTAGGCAGCCCAAGAACCAAACACATGAGTGTTTCTGCAGGGAAATGTATGAATATTGACATCAGTAGGATGAAAATAAATAATAGTCTTACTTTAGTTCAGATTAGGTTTCTGTCACCAAATGAATTTTGGTGGCAGCCTGATGAAAAATGTTGGTTCTCAGAGTGTTTTTGAGTTTAGAATTGTGGTTAAGGGAGTATGGACCTGTTGATAACAAAAACAGGAACAAGGCCAGGTGTGGTGGCTCACACCTGTAATCCCAGCACTTTGAGAGGCTGAGGTTGGTGGATCACCTGAGGTCAGGCATTCAAGATCAGCTTGTCCAACATGGCGAAAACCCATCTCTTCTAAAAATATAAAAATTAGCTGGGCGTGGTGGCATGCGCCTGTAATCCTAGCTACTTGGGAGGCTGACGCATGAGAATCACTTGAACCTGGGAGGTAGAGGTTGCAGTGAGCCAGGATCGCACCATTGCATTCCAGCCTGGGCAAGAAGAGTGAAACTTCATAAAAAACAAAAACAAAAACAAAAAACAGAGAAACAGGAACAACAATCGCCAGCATATACCAAGTGCTTATCGTGTGTGCCAGGTACTCTAATTATGTACTATGTCAGTTGATTCTCAAAACATATATGGCACAACATGGGTACTCTGAACATGGGCACAATCAATGTACAATGCTATAATGTATAACACAGGACAATGTAGCTGTTAAAAGCATGGACACTCTATCTAGTCCATCTGGGTTATAATCTCTGCTCTACCAGTGAATAACTGTAACTCTGGCAAATGACTTCTCTATGCCCTGTTTCCTCAGCTGGGAAATGGGGGATAATATCAGTACTCACCTCCTAAGATTGTTGTGAGGATTAAATGTGTTACTTTATAAGAAATGTCTGGCACATAGCAAAGGTTGTTATTATTTTAATTTTTACACATGGGCAAACTAAGCCTCAAGTAACCTGTCCAAGAATACGTAGCTATGAAGTGTGGAGCTGGGATTTGGAGCTGGGGTTTGAATCCAGGCAATCTAACTCCAGAGCCTACCTTCTATGCTACTTTTTGGCTACGAGCAAACAATCTGTCAAGAAACAAAGTAGCTACTAATCTAAACAGATGTGAAATTTGAAGACCAGTTGATCTTTGGGGAATGTTGGGTTCTTCAGACAATGGTAGCTCAGTAATGTAAAGGGACAAATGACAGCCACATGCCAACTTGGTTAACTCCTTCCCTAGGTCCTGATGACCAAATAACCAGCTTATTTCTCAACTATTGGTTGGCTTTCATTTCAGGTCTGGTCAGCTGCTTATGACCTTGTTCCCCACTGAGCAGACTCACCATCTGGGCCCTGGCGGGCAGCAGCATGCAGTGCCGTGTCCCCATGGCGGTCCTGGTGGGCAGGGTCAGCCCCGAGCCGAAGCAGCAGGCACAGGGCAGGGGCATCGTGGCGGGCACAGGCCCGGTGCAGTGGTGGGGGCTGCCCAGCATCTACATCGAGGCCTGGGTGTCGCTGGAGGAGGGCCTGGGCCCGGACCAGCCGTCCTGCAGACAAGTAACGACGAAAGCGACGTTCTCGGCGTTGGCGGCGGGAAGTGGAGGCCATGGAACTCTTGGGCTGGGGAAGGAAAAAAGGCAGCAGTCAGGACTTCAGCCTTGGCTGGTCCTTCTCCCTCCATCTCTGACATCCCCTGTTGTTTCTCCCTTTGGTTCCGTCTTTTTTTAATATCTTCAGCAAGAGATGAGGCCTAACCTAACCCTGATCCTTTATCAGATGATAGATTTGAAAAAAAATTTTTTTTGAGGGGGGTGATAGGATCAGAGGTTTAATTTTTTTAATGTAAAATTCGAGAAAAGGGTAAATAATTGGTTTAAGGCTCAGGAGCCCAGGTAAATTTTTAATTTTTAACAAAGAACTTTAAAAAAACCCAACAGGGCCGGATGGGGAAAATTTTTATCAGCAGAAATCTGAGTTTTAAAAAGTCA
This sequence comes from Homo sapiens, assembly GCF_000001405.40. Taxonomy (NCBI): domain Eukaryota; kingdom Metazoa; phylum Chordata; class Mammalia; order Primates; family Hominidae; genus Homo; species Homo sapiens. The sequence continues at coordinate 2,852,842 of NT_167246.2, read as the reverse complement.
CAGATAATCTCCAATAATGATCTAGAAATTGAATATCATGTACCCGGCAGACAGATGTGGAGGCTTCTTCCTCTGGAACCTGGGGGGAGGGGTTACTCATCAGACCTGCCCCCGCCCCCCCAAGTACCCCCAGAGCCGTAGGCCCAAGGCCTGTGTTTAAGAAGCTCGGAGACGGGAGGCGGGAAGGGCGGAGACACTCCAGGCTGGAGGAAATGGCGCAAGCAGAGACGCAGGTGGAGGACGGAAGTGAACTGTGAGGGGCGTTACCGGATGTCGTTCCGCCCCGACCGGGTAGTTCTTGGCCAGATCTCCCAGGGGAAACTAGGGAACTTAAATTAAAGGGGCCGTCTGAAACCAGAAGACTGGACTGGAGGCGAGGAAAAGGAGGCGAGGGGAGGGGAGGGAGAAAAGAGAGTTATTTGGAGGTTTTTTCCCGCCTCCTCTAACTTGGCAGAGAGAGGAGATGGTTCAGTGATGGACGAAAAGATGAGAAGACAGAGAAAATAGAGGAGATAAAGACAGGATAAAAATCACATTAAACATGGAAAACAAAAACAAAAACCACAGTGGGACAACAACAGGGACAGATCAAAAAAAAGAAAAAATACAGACAAAAGACGGAAGAAGACTATCGTAGGATGGGGCAAGTGAGATGCAAAAATTTGGACTTGAGAAATATGTAGAAAAAGATGGAGATGTTAACAACGGGAGGCAGGGGAGGGGGCGGGATGGTGGAGAGAGAGAGAAAGGTAGAGAGTTAGTTTAGAATTAAGCCCAGAATGCTCTTTTCCCAACACAGGTTGCATGATGACATCCTTACCTTTTCACCGCATTCACAACCCTTTATGCTTCCTCTGTTACCACCAATCAAGTTCTCCTTCTCTCACCTCAGTACTCCCCCGTCTCCGCCCCTGCCTCATCCCTAGACCTTTCCGACTGGGATGGCTAACCTGTTGTAAGCCCGCAGCTTTGGGCCTGGTCTCTGCTGCTCCCAGGCGGCCCCTTTGGGTACTGCCTGAGCAAGAAGTGCTGGAGAGGAGGACCAGTCATCAATAGGAGGATGAGATTGGGAGAGACACTCGGTGCAGGAGGCTGAGTGAGCAGGGGAGCACTAAGACCCAGGGGTAGTGGAGGACTGCAGCAACGAGCTGGAGGAGGAGAAGTAAGCGGTGGGGGGTGGGAGCCATCTGGTACTTTGACAGCATTCAAAACAGCATCGGCCATAACAACAGAAATGGCCAGTCAGTCCCAAGGTATCCAGCAGCTTCTGCAAGCTGAGAAGCGGGCAGCTGAGAAGGTGGCAGATGCCAGAAAGAGTGAGTCTCCTCTTTCCTCCCTTAGGAGTTTGGAAAGAAAATTGGGGGTGGGGGACAGCAAACATTTTGGGAAAACCCAAGGCTGGCGGGAAGACAGCTAGGGTCTGGAGGCTGGTTAGGAGGGAAGAAATGGATGGATATTAGAATCTGGCACCTGGTTGGCTGAGAGAAGGCTGTATAACTTTCTGGAAGGGACTGACTCCTGCTATTACATTGTGTGTGTGTGGGTCCATCCCCACTCACTGTCCTTTCTTCTGCCTCCAGGGAAGGCCCGGCGACTGAAGCAGGCAAAGGAGGAGGCACAGATGGAGGTGGAGCAATACCGCAGAGAGCGAGAGCACGAATTCCAGAGCAAGCAGCAGGCGGTGAGTTGAGGCAGAGTCGGGATGAGACCCCACTGCAAGTTGGTGGGTGCATCTAGTGAGGTGTGTAAGGGTGACTCAACAAGAAAATATGGTGGCAGAGGGCTGAGGCTGAGGGGACCCTGGCAGGGACCACAACATTGGTGAAACTTTGTGATGATATGTAGGAGAGTCTGGGAGTTTTGAAGGCCACATAGAGCTTGTGGGCGGAATGCCACAGTCTGTGTAAAGTATAACATCTATGTGGAGTATGATTAACATTTGTGGTGGAGGGTAGAGTTTTATGGTCATGGATGGTGAGGTGGTGGGGATATTACGGTCTGTTTTAGGATGAAGTTGCATGTTAGGTCTAAGGGGAAAGGGGACTGTGTTGATCTCTTTGGTGTTGGGATATTTCTGTGGGATGGGGGTGGTTTCTGAGAGGGCCTTTCTTCTAGGCTTTGTTTCAGGATCTTTCCCCTCATATGCCTGGACCCTTGTCTGTTTTTGCTTTTCCCTTTCTCTCTTCCACCCCTCTCCCTACCCCCCAGGCCATGGGCTCCCAGGGGAACCTGTCTGCTGAGGTGGAGCAGGCTACAAGGCGCCAGGTGCAGGGCATGCAGAGCTCCCAGCAGAGAAACCGAGAGCGTGTCCTGGCCCAGCTTCTTGGCATGGTCTGCGACGTCAGGCCCCAGGTCCACCCCAACTACCGGATTTCTGCCTAGGGCCACCGTAGGGCCTGACTCCTTCTGCCAGTTCCCTCCCTCAAAGAAATCCTCCAATCAAAATCACCTCCCACCATAATCCCTGTCTTCTTTCCATCCCCTAGAAATCCTGGGAGGCAGGATCCAATAATTTTCCTGTGACACTTATAAATATCCTGCTCACATCTGAATCTCCTTGTTGTTCTTTAACCCTCACTGGGACTTTGTAAACTTCCAAGTCATTCTCACCTAAACCCTCTGTGAAATTTGTAATATGGGGAAGTAGGAATGTGGAAAACATCCTGACTTCAGTGTCTGGCCGATGTGGGTCCCTCTCTTGACCCTGTCACTTGCTGGCTGTGAAACCAGGACAAGCTACTTAACTTGGTAGCCTCGATGTCCTCCTCTGTGAAACTGGGATGATAATAATGCCTACCTTGTGAGGGTTGCTTCAATGATTAGGAATCATTCTGTAAAGTCTAGCACAGTTCCTTGCATGTTGTAGCAGTGATTCAGTAAGTAGCAACCCTGTGATACTATTACCACCACCTGCTCACTGGTCAAAACCTACACAGCTGTTTCCTCACGTCCATCACTGGCTCTCTAATTCCACTTGTTCATTCTGTGACCCTAGTTATTTTCTGAAAAATTGGTTCTTCTCTTTTCCCAGAGACCTTCTGATCTCCAAAAAGAGGAGATGACTACATTTAGCCCCTCTCTTATAATTCCAGGTAGATAACTGCATTTTGTAGCCTCTCTTTGTTTTTCTTTTGCTGATCTTTGTCTTTATTAGATTTTCCTCCTTTCCTATTTCCCCAAAGACTTATCAGATGCTCATTGCTTTCTAAGATCTAAAATGATACTGTGTTCCCTCATATGCATGCCCTTCCTTTCTATATCCTTGACACCTTACTTTCCCATTGTAACAATAAAAAAAGTATCAATAAAATAATTATTGGCAAATAAATTGGTGAGTTGAAGCAGCCTCCTTTTGCCTCATCATTTCTCATTTTCAGTCACTTTGTTTTTTTTTTTTTTGAGATGGAGTTTTGCTCTTGTTGCCCAGGCTGGAATACAATGGCGTGATCTCAGCTCATTGCAACCTCTGCCTCCCAGGTTCAAGCGATTCTCCTGCCTCAGCCTCCCAAGTTGCTGGAATTATGGGTGTGTGCCACCACGCCTGGCTATTTTTTGTATTTTTAGTAGAGATGGGGTTTCGCCATGTTGGTCAGGCTGGTCTCAAACTCCTGACCTCAAGTGATCCACCTGCCTTGGCCTCCCAAAGTGCTGAGATTAGAGGTGTGAGCCACTGTGCCTGGCCTTCAGTCACTTTCTTGTTTTTTGTTTACATATTCCCTAAACAGCCCAAATGGCTATCCTTTGAAACTTCTTGGAGAAACAAGAACAAGTAGTACTTTATTATTTCTCTAAAGTGAGAAACATGGTTCCTCATTTGGGAATCTGAGGACTATAGATCGCAACTGTAGAGAAAAGCTGGAGTGTAGGAGCAAGTGCTCTTTGCCCCTTTACCTTGCATTTTCTTCATAGCACTTACTGCTACTGGTTTTTTGAGACAAGGTCCTGCTGTGTTGCCCAGGCTGGAGTTCCAGCTCACGGCAGCCTTGACCCCCTGGACTCAAATGATCCTCCCACTTCAGCCTCCTGAGTAGCTGGGATTACGGGCGAGTGCCACTATGCCTTGCTAATTTTAAAATTTTTTGTAGAGATGGGGTCTCACTTGCCCAGGCTGGTCTGAAACTCCTGGGCTCAAGCAATCCTTCGGGCTCGGCTTCCTCAAGGGTTGGGTTACAGGCCTGAGCCACTGCACCCTGACCACTTATCGATACTTGACATTATATTTGTGTTTATGTGTTTTCTTTCCTGTAATGTAAACACTGTGAGAACAGGGCTGTTCACCGTTGTGTCCCCAGATCCTAGGACAACATGTGGCACAAGGGAGGCAGTTGATAAATACTTTTGAATAAATTAAATGATACTTGGGAAAATACCTTCTATGACACCATTCTTGAATTAGTTACTTCATTTGTCACTGAAGACAAGCTTACTTCACCAAGAATTTGAACCAATAAGGTAACCTGCAGTGTATTTACTAACCAGATTCTTTGAGCAGGGAGGCAGAATACAATAGAGAATGAGAGATGTTTGCATCCTGGCTGTAACCTCACCAGCCGTACTGCTTGAGATATGTTGCTTTGCTTCGCTTCTGTCAATAAGATGAGAATAACGGTACCTACTCCTTAGTATTAAATGATTAAGTATGCTAACAGGGAGAGGGCCAAACGTTTGTTGTTTTATTACACAGCAGGACATCAGGTCTTACTTTTGTGGCTCCCCATCTCAAAGACGGGGATAGCAAATGTTTCATTCAGGAAAAAAATCCAGGTTGAACAATGGGGCTGTTGGGGCGGGGCCAAGAACATTCTGCTCGAATTAACAGTATTAATGGGCCGGGCGCGGTGGCTCACGCCTGTAATCCCAGCACTCTGGGAGGCCGAAGTGGGTGGATCACCTGAGGTCATACATGGGTGAAGCCCCGTCTCTACTAAAAAAACAAAAATTTGCTGGGCGTGGTGGCGGGCGCCTGTAATCCTAGCTACTCGGGAGGCTGAGGCAGGAGAATCGCTTGAACCCGGGAAGCAGCGGTTGCAGTGAGCCGAGATCAGGACATTGCACTCCCGCCTGGGCGACAGGGCGAGACTCTGTCTCAAAACAAAAACAAAAACAGTATTAATGGAATGTAGTATAACCCTCAAGCCCTACTATTAACACTTGGGGCCGAATCCAGACCCCGTCTTCCCGCTCGGATTCAGAACACCTTCCTGACTCACTGGCCCTAGGGCATCAGCTACCTCGGACAGCATCCTTTTGGGAAAATACCGCCCACCAGCCCCACGACTGGGAAAGAGTCGGGAAACACCCCCGAGCAATCCAGTTCCCTGAGACTTCCCTCCTCCCTCCCCTCAGCTAGGGCCTGCCGGTTCCTAGTGCGTGCCCAGCAGTCCTCAGGTCACCTTCACTACCGGGCCAAGGACCCCGTGGGAACTCGCAGCCTTCGCCACACTCGTTCCTCGCGCATCCACGGAGGGGTGCCTACAGAGAAGACCTGCGTGGCAAAAACCTAAACGAAGAGATGAGGGGCATGGAGAGGAGTAGGATAAGAGAATAAAGATAACAGTGGGGGGCAGACGTTAGTTTCCTTTATATCTTTTGTTACTGGCGGTAGCAGTGAAGTTAGAAACGGTTTTAAAACAAATTTCAGACAGGCATTTTCCAAAGGCAAGCCTGGAGCGCACGGATCTGTATAACCGCGGAAGGCCCTGTTTCCGGTCCCTTGCGCCTGCGCTCTTGCAGCCAAGAAGGCGGGAGGCTGGAGTAGAGGGAAGCCTGCAACCGGAAGTGAAGGCAGATTTCCCTCCTTCGTCGCTGTTGCTGCCGCCATACGCGCTCTCCCTGTTTAGGTAAGCTTTGGCCTTCGCTACAATCCGTTTCCATCTGCGCTTCTCCGCACCCATCCCGTCACATGGGTTCCTGATACCCTTTTCACAGGCGATGGTCTGGTCGCTGGGGCCTAGTTGGTTCGCTATTTCCTTAGCTTGCATCCCTTTCGAGAGCAAAGAGCTCCTGGGGGAAGGAAGGGAAGCTAAGGGGGGACCCAATCCAAGATGGTGTCCTCGGCGCCATTGTGTTCGTTTTGCTCCCTTCTTCCAATGGGTTCTTCTCATATTGGAGGCCTCAGCATCAATGAGAGGCGGTGCTCGGCGTCCCTTGGTCTTGGTATTTGCGGAGGGCGGGGCTCTTCTCACCTTCCTTGTTCTTTCTTGAGCTCTTTTTCGGCCCTCGGTGGGACTGGGAGGAGGAGCTGGTTTCTGGGCCCAGTTGGATTTTTCTCACCTTGACTTGCCCAACTTAATTTGGAGTGCCTTCCAAGTGTTTACGATACGATTGGTGTCATTGTATGTTTCTCCAAAAGGAGTCTCACCTTCGTAGCGTAACAGTGATGTGAGACCACTTGGTAAAGATCCTGTTAAAGCCTGGGCGGGGATTGCCTTTCTCTGTCACCTATTAGCTTTCTTATTGTAGGGTGGAGACATGAATTTTGTTTTTTTGTGGCCGAGCCATTTGTCTTGCACCGCCCCTCCCCCCCATGCTAATTACACAAGGCTTGCTTAAACAGCGGAAGGGAGGATACTGAGAAGTGGGAGGCTGAGAGCTATGGGAGGTGGACGGCGGCCATATGATGTTTTCTTTTCGAAAGGTGAGCGCTTTGCGCAGTGATGACCCTCATCTATCACCCTTGACTGATGGCTGCTGAGTTAGGCATCCATAACGGTGGGATTATAATAGGGAAAGCGGAGTCTTCCTTTGAGGACTTTTCAGGACTCTACTTGTCATCTCCATTTTCCACTTTACTAAGTTATTAGTCATATTTTACCTTTTATTATCTATTCTATTTCCTCACTGTTACTTTCAGATCAAGAATTTATAAGTTGGTCTTCCCCTTCCAACTTTTCTGGTTTCCGCTACTGTGATTGCTAATCTTGTTGGGAACCTCTGTCCTAACCACTTTCCCTGGTACTGCTTTTTCTGTTCTGTTATATTTGCTTTTCGTTTTTATGTTTTGTATCTGTTTTTCTTTCCAGGTAAAAGTTTCCTGGTTTAGGGAAAGTGGGAACTGGGGATGGAAAAGAGGTCGTGATTAAGTCTTGCTTTTTTTTTCCCCCCTCCAGCTCTTCTGTTAGAAATAGTATCTTTGTTTTCCTTTGCTGTTCCTCAATCCCCTACTCTTCACCCCTTGTTTTCACCTATTTTGCGAGAACCCATCCAGATCCCCCTTCCCTTCTTCCCCTGCCGGCCCAGTTATGGCAGAGAACGATGTGGACAATGAGCTCTTGGACTATGAAGATGATGAGGTGGAGACAGCAGCTGGGGGAGATGGGGCTGAGGCCCCTGCCAAGAAGGATGTCAAGGGCTCCTATGTCTCCATCCACAGCTCTGGCTTTCGTGACTTCCTGCTCAAGCCAGAGTTGCTCCGGGCCATTGTCGACTGTGGCTTTGAGCATCCGTCAGAAGGTAAATTTTCTCTTGGGCATGTAGTGCTCATTGGGCTCTTTAAGGGTACAATACAAAGATGTGTTTGTCGTTGCTCAGGTGGTGGTAAGGGTTTATACTTAAGGCTAGATCAGGGCCAGGTGCAGTGGCTCACGCCTGTAATCCCAGCACTTTGGGAGGCTGAGGCAGGAGGGTGGCCACTTGAGCTCAAAAGTGCAAGAGAAGCCTGGGCAACATAGCGAGACTCCTGTCTCTACAAAACGTTCAGAAATTAAGCAGGTGAAGGTTGAGGCTTCAGTGAGCCGTGATTGCACCACTGTGCACCAGCCGGGGCGACAGTGAGGAAGAAAAAATTGGGATAAGTATCAAAAACAATTTTGGATAGAGGAGGCTTATACAGGCTTATTCTTTCTTTCGTGATAGCACCAAAGTGCTAATGATCCAAAAGTGACTTCCAGGTCTGCCATTCATTCTTGTGACTGGCTTTTCTTGTCTGCTTATTTTTAATTTTGTCACTTGACTTCTAATTTTAAATTTCCAGAAAGGTCCTGCTTGGACCTGTAGTCTCCCTCTGTTGGGCCAGGCCAACTGTGGTCTCTGGAAACCTCTATGACTGGTTTAGAGATGACTGGCTTCTGGGTCAGGTACCAAGTCCTTCATTTTGTCCAGGGTTGTAGTAGTTACGTGACCCGAAGTATAGCAACCTAAGCAGGAGAAGTGGTCTGTGGCAGGTATTCAAATGTCATGAATTGTTACAGATTAAGAAAAATAAGGACAGAGCTAGGATCATTGAAGGTGAGCGGTTGGTAGATGCAAGGGGTTTGTTACTAGGACTGGGAAGGCCTAGATCTGGAGGAGGCTAAAGCTAGGAGGAATTAGGAGAGTCTGATTTTGAGGTGAATGTAATTGAGCAGAGAGAGGTAAAATGGGTCTGGAAGTTGGCAAGAACCAGGTAAATACTAGACTTTGAGAATTGAGTGGTAAGAAATGGGCTTGGCATGGTGAAAAAGGTAGAGTTATCTGGAGACTGAAGTCTAATTTATCTTCCTCCCCCCCCAACTTTTAGTCCAGCATGAGTGCATCCCTCAGGCCATTCTGGGAATGGATGTCCTGTGCCAGGCCAAGTCGGGCATGGGAAAGACAGCAGTGTTTGTCTTGGCCACACTGCAACAGCTGGAGCCAGTTACTGGGCAGGTATATTTGGGGAGAGTGCTGGGGAGGGGATTTTGGTTAGGACTATAAGGGAAGGGTGTTTTTGTCCTAACTACATGATGCTTGCAGAGCCATGAGCACATGACCTCTGTTACCCTTGACAACCTGACAGCTGTGGGGGATGTTCTGTCGCAAGCGTGGGGTTCATGATTTAGATCACAGAATTGAAGTCATTTATTATCGGCCCAGGTGTGTTTTTGTGACAGTCACTTCCCTAGAGGGGATAATGAAGAGCTACATTTACCATATGTCTCCGTATACTTCCTGCCTAAGGTGTCTGTGCTGGTGATGTGTCACACTCGGGAGTTGGCTTTTCAGATCAGCAAGGAATATGAGCGCTTCTCTAAATACATGCCCAATGTCAAGGTAAGCCAAGGTAAAGAGACCTGAGAGTGAGGGTGTGGCAAGTTGGAGGGATAAGAAACTTGTAGGCCAATAGTCTCTTTAATTTTGGAGAAGCTTTAGTTTGCTGTGGTGTAACAGAGTGTTGAGTTCCTATGTAACAGGAGGATTCGTAATTGGGCTATGGATGATGCTTAACACAAGACCACCCTTTTCTTACTACTTTATACTGACTTTGAATCATATCAGTTTAATAATTTTGGGGTATGTGGCAGAGAAAGCCGGAAACTTTAAAACAGCTCCAGTGGTGTGTGAATATTGAGGATTCTGGCCAAGTGCACAATGGCTTACACCTGTAATCTCAGCAGTTTGGGAGGCCAAGGCGTGTGGATTATTTGAGGTCAGGAGTTTAAGACCAATGTGGCCAACAGGATGAAACCCTCTCTCTACTAAAAATGCAAAAATTAGCCGTGCATGGTGGCACACACCTATAGTCCCACCTGCTTGGGAGGCTGAGGCAGGGGAATCGCTTGAACCCAGGAAGCAGAGGTTGTAGTGAGCTGAGATTGTGCCATTACACTCCAGCCTGGGTGGCAGAGTGAGACTCCCATCTCAAAAAAAAAGAAAAAATCTGATTGAAGTTAAGCATTTTTGGCAAGAATCCTTCATAGGTGATGCTGTATCTCCTGTTATGCCACAAATCTGGTCGACTTATGTTAGTTATTTTATTTTATTTTTATTTATTTGTTTTGAGATGGAGTCTCGCTGTGTCCTTCAGGCTGTGAGTGTAGTGGCGCGATCTCAGCTCACTGCAACCTGCGCCTCCCACGTTCAAGCGATTCTCCCGCCTCAACCCCCCGAGTAGCTGGGACTACAGTGTGCCATCATGCCTGGCTAATTTTTGTTTTTTTTTAGTAGTGACAGGGTTTCGCCATGTTGGCCAGGCTGGTCTCGAACTCCTGACCTCAAGTGATCCACCCACCTCGGCCTCCCAAAGTGCTGGGATTACAGGAGTGAGCCACTGCACCTGGCCTCATTAATGATTTTAGATTTACCATAGGATTAGCGTCGTGACAGTCTGATTCCACAGTTGTTCTTTTCCCCCTTGAAACCAGAAAGTAGTTTCTGGTGTTATTTGATACTGTACCAAGGCCCAGATCCCCAAACAACTATTCACCTAATGGTTTTAACATGAAATGATAATATTTAGCCCGAAGCAGTAATTTCATGGGGTTTGTGTGAAAAGAGTTTGAGATTCTGGGTTTATTTAGGAAACCTTAATGTTCCATGTGTTTTTTGTGGTACTTTACACTAATCTGGTGATTTCTTGCTGTCCTTTATTTATTTATTTTTTATTTTTTGAGATGGAGTCTCGCTCTGTCATCCAGGCTGGAGTACAGTGGCTCAATCTCGCCTCACTGCAATCTCCACCTCCCGGGTTCAAGCGATTCTCCTGCCTCAGCCTCCCGGCTAAATTTTGTATTTTTTGTTTTTTAGTAGTAAATTTGTAAATTTTGTATTTTAGTAGAGATGGGGTTTCACCGTGTTGGCCAGGCTGGTCTTGAACTCCTGGCTTCAAGTGATCCACTTTCCTTGACCTCCCAAACTGCTGGGATTACAGGCGTGAGCCACTGGGCCTGGCTTTATTTTATTTTTATTTATTTTATTTCTTTTTGAGATGGAGTATCACTCTTGTTGCCCAGGCTGGAGTACAACGGTGGGATCTTGGCTCACCACAACCTCTGCCTCCCAGGTTCTCGTGCCTCAGCCTCCTGAGTAGCTGGAATTACAGGCGTGTGCCACCACACCTGGCTCCTTTATTTTTTAAATGAAGCCTGGCCTCATAAATGAAGGAAGTTGGTTAGATTAAGTCAGTAGAACTGAATTATTGTCCTGACTGCTCCGACTAGCCATGTAACTTTAGGCAATCACCCTCAGTGTTTGGTGGGGGGGACATAAAATTTTTAAATTAGGTGACCTCTAAAGTTAGTTTTAGTTTGGAAACATGCTAAAAATTGGTTTAGCTCAAACAGAGTGGGAACCCTGGGGGGATTGGACTCTTTCCTTCCTCTGTTTTGAGACTCTTTGCTTCTGGCTCGGCAGGTTGCTGTTTTTTTTGGTGGTCTGTCTATCAAGAAGGATGAAGAGGTGCTGAAGAAGAACTGCCCGCATATCGTCGTGGGGACTCCAGGCCGTATCCTAGCCCTGGCTCGAAATAAGAGCCTCAACCTCAAACACATTAAACACTTTATTTTGGATGAATGTGATAAGATGCTTGAACAGCTCGGTGAGTGGCAGTGCTGGGGCTTGGCTAATGCTGGGGAGTTGTTCTTTGGAGCCAAATGATGTTTATTTGAAACAGGAGCACCTCAGTGCAAGGACGACTCTTATCTATCACCCATGACTGATGGCTCTGGGTTCCCTGGTTGGTCTTTATTATGCTTTTAAGCACAGTAAAGGGTGTCATCTATCATCTTTCTATGATTTTTGTTTTTAACCTTTGAGAATAGGGGACTTTGATAATTTTAGGCATAAGTCATCACCACCACCACCGTTTTCATTATAGATTCATATACTGGGAGTCATAGGGGAGATTCTAAACTGAAAGAGAAGACAGTACCCTTCTGGCATCTCCAGCACAGCATTTACAGTCAGAATTTATAGCTGAATAAGTGTCTAGACTCAGGTCTGGGATTAATGTAGAGAGTGTTTGTAGCAGTTTGTGTGATGTGGTATTCTAGTGTGCCAGGTGGGGTTAATGGAAGATTTTTCTGTAAGAATTGAATCTTGGTGAATGAGAGTGGGGTTGGACATAGGCCCCATAAGTCATTACAAATGATCTTTGGCAATTCTATATGGTGAGCTGTAAAGGTGGGCTCCAGGTAGGGATGTCATATTTGCCTGACTTGATAGAAAAGTAATCCAGAGAGTCATAGATGGACTCTGATATCTGGAATATAATATGTGCTTGATATTTGTAGTCTGCTGAAGGCTGGCTGGGGCTTGGGCAGGAAAGGGTTGGGAGAAGGTCCCATAAAGCATGTTTTGAAGGCCTTGAGAGCCTCTGCACTGGGCTTTATCCCCATTTCATAGTTGGGAACTTTGGGGTTTTACCTTATTTCTTGCTTGGTTAAAACAAACAGCTGGAATCTGATCCCACTTCTTGATTCCAAGTCCATTGCTCTTTCCATTGTGTTGTTACTATTTCCAGCAATCTTCACCTCACTGGGAAGTCTACCTCTAATCTTTGTTTATCATACCTGCTTATTTTCTCCTACAATTTTTTTCCTTGTTCTTGTAGACATGCGTCGGGATGTCCAGGAAATTTTTCGCATGACCCCCCACGAGAAGCAGGTCATGATGTTCAGTGCTACCTTGAGCAAAGAGATCCGTCCAGTCTGCCGCAAGTTCATGCAAGATGTAAATACCCTTCTACCTTCTCTCCCTCCACTCCCCGCCCGCTGCCTCCTCCCCTTCCTCGCCCTCTTCCTCAGACTCCCTTGTCATTCAAGTGCCAAGAAGGCGGCTTGTGCCCAACTGGGAGTAATGACTCCTTGAAGAGACATACAGAAGCAGAGACAGCTAGTGTTAGGGCCTGCGCGGGTGCCAGGGAAACTCCGGAAGACTTGGTCGGGTTAATGTGAGAGCGGGTAGTGTTCGACTTTTTCATAAATCACAACATTTTTGAACCTCTTCTCCCTTCGGGGGAGGGCAGGATTTTTCTGCCCTACCACCCACCCATCCATCGTCTCTTACATGCACCCTACAGCCACGCACCCTCAAGGTGGCATCGAGCATACAGCTGGAGCCTTCTGCTCACCAAAACTCCTACTTCCCGGTGGCAGGAGAGCAAGAGAGGGACAGACAGATGGCAGGGCATGTCCAAAAGAAGAGCATCAGCACAAATGAATCCTCCCCTTCCCCACCTCCAGGGGTGGGGGCCTTTGGCACCTCAATCCCCGATACCCTACTCCTTCCCACCCACATCTCCTTGCACCCATCTGGAACCTCGGTTGATGTGAGCCGGCAACAGAGAAGCACCGTGGCGCGGCGAGGGAATGCAGACGGCACCCAGCGGTGGATGGCGGCAGCGGAGGCCGCGGGGAAACCTGACCAGGAAGCTGAGGACCAAACCAGCCTCTTTTTCCGTTCCCGGTTTTTTTCCTGAACCCAACGCGTGCCGTGCCCCGTTTCCCCCAATATGTGTTGGGGAGGGGTGTCCTGAATGGGGTGGTAGATTTTTTTTCTTAAAAAAATTTTTTTGTTTTTTTTAATACTCAGAGGAGAGGGACATAGGAAAGGTAAAGTGGATGTAATCGGGTGGTTGTTAGGGTTTGGGGCTAGGTGGGGCCAATTGCATAAGCAGTGGAGTGTGTTCTTCCCCTCCCTGCAGTGTTCTTCCCGTGGGATGATCACTCTTTAGCTGTATTTGGGGCTAGAATGAGATTTGAAGGAGGCCATGGAACTTCTCTTTAGAAAGCCTGCCTTGGCTGGGCCTGGTGGCTCACCTCTAATCCCAGCACTTTGGGAGGCCAAGGTGGGAGGATTGCTTGAGCCCAGGAATTTGAGACTAGCTGGGGCAGTGTAGTGAGACTTTGTCTCTACCAGAAAAACCGGGCGTGGTGGCGCATGCCTGTAGTCCCAGCTACTTGGGAAGCTGAGGCAGGAGGGTTTGCTTGAGCCCGGGACGTGGAGGTGGCAGTAAGCTGTAATTGTGCCACTGTACTCCAGCCTGGGTGATAGAGTGAGACCCTGTATCAAAACAAAACAAAAAACAAAACCTGCCTTCTGGGATTGGGCTTCTGGTTTTTTTCCCATGACACACACATCCTTTCCTATTTTGTCCTCTGGGTCTTCATATTAACTATCTTCCCCCAGGATAGTATAAAAAGTGTTAGGAAAGTTGGGCTTTGGAGTTGTGGTAATTTCTGTCTTTGTTACTTTCCTCCCCTTCAGGGGGTTTTTTAATTTTAAAGATGAATGCAGTGAGGTATAATGGTGTGTGCCTGTAGTCCCAGCTATTCAGGAGACTGAAGCAGGAGGATCACTTGAGCCCAGGAATTTGAGGCTATAGTGTGCTATGATTGTGCCAGTGAATAGCCACTGCACTCCAGCCTGGGCAACATGGTGAGATCCTGTCCCTTAAAAGCGTATCTGCTGCTCTGAATTTGGTATTTTAACACCACTTACTGATACCTTTCCTGTAAACCTGTAGATGGTTTAATTCTTAGTCAAGAGACCAGTCTCATCTAAAACTATCCTGTTGTGGTCTGACGGCAAGTAACTCATCTTGAGTAATTTTTGTTTCTCCTTAAGTGGCATTTTGACTGTCCATTGCAGCATTCTGATCTTAAAAGACATCCACTTTGCTAATGCACACGAGATTCTCTTAGTTGAAGTAGGAGAATCAAATGGAGCAGTTGTCCTCCCCCCACCCCATGTTCTTAGAAGCACCTCTGATGGAGTTATTCTGACCTTGAGTCACTGCCTCCCATCATTTCCCAGATGTTTGGTCCTTGCTCTCCCTTTGAGAATCATCTCCCATTTTCTTTCCTCTCCCACCTCTATTTGAGGTAATGGCATCTGTGCCATTGGGTGGTTTCACTGCTCCTTGACTTCATTTGCAGTTTCTTTCCCATGATAGTTTTTAGTTGGGCAGTCTTAAAACTCATCTGATAGGAAGGAAATTAGATGTAATGTGAGAGAGACCACAGTAAAATGTGGGTATTTTTGGGAGTGGGGTGGGGTTTTCAATCTTCTCTTTCCTCCCCATCCCCCCATGGGGTGTATTGGAGATCAACTTCCTCCACCCCCCCAGGTTTAACCCCCCCACTCTGCCCTCCTCCCGTTCCCCACCCCCTTCCTCCCCCCCAGCCAATGGAGATCTTCGTGGATGATGAGACGAAGTTGACGCTGCATGGGTTGCAGCAGTACTACGTGAAACTGAAGGACAACGAGAAGAACCGGAAGCTCTTTGACCTTCTGGATGTCCTTGAGTTCAACCAGGTCAGTTAGACGTCCAGTAGGGGGATGAGCATTGGAGCACTCCAGCTGTAGCAGAAACCTGGATATTAAGTACACTTTTATTGAGGAAATCACATGTGTGATGTGGGAGAGAATAATGAGGGTATAAATATCTTAGGGGCTGAGCATGAGTAAGGTGGGAGCTGCTTTTCTATTCTATGGCTGGCACGGGTATGTCCTCAATAACCTCAAGGAAAATAAACTTCAAAAATTAAGATCCTTGGCCAGGCACGGTGGCTTATGTGTGTAATCCCAGCACTTGGGGAGGCTGAGGGAGGTGGATCACTTGAGTCCAGGAGTTTGAGACCAGTCTGGGCAACATGGCGAAACTTCATCACTACCAAAGAAGAAAAAAATTAGCCAGGTGTGGTGGTGTATGCCTGTAGTCCCAGATACTCTGGTGGCTGAGGTGAGAGGATAGCTTGAGCCCAGGAAATTGAGGCTGCAGTGAACTATGATTGCACTACTGTGCTCCAGCTTGGGCAACAGAGTGAGATCTTGTCTCCAAAAGTCCTTGAAGGATTTTAGGAAGTTGTTAAAAGTCTTGAAACGATGTTTGGGGGCATGTTAGGGTTCTTGAATGTTTAATTCCTCTAATAACTGCTTATTCAAGAGAAGCATTTCTGACTGGGTGCAGGGCAGTGGCTCATGCCCATAATCCCAGTACTTTGGGAGGCTGAGGCAGGAGCATTGCTTGAGCCCAGGACTTCAAGACCAGCCTGGGTAACATAGGGAGACGCCCGTCTCTACAAATAGTAAAAATAAAAAATAAAAAAAGTAGCTGGGCGTGGTGGTGTGCACCTGTGGTCCCAGCTGCTTGGGATGCTGAGGTGGAAGGATCTCTTAAACCCAGGAGGGTGGAGGCTGCAGTGACTTGCGATTGCACCACTGCACTCCAGTCTGGGGGAC
Organism: Homo sapiens; assembly: GCF_000001405.40. Taxonomy (NCBI): domain Eukaryota; kingdom Metazoa; phylum Chordata; class Mammalia; order Primates; family Hominidae; genus Homo; species Homo sapiens. The sequence continues at coordinate 2,836,924 of NT_167246.2, read as the reverse complement.
AGAGTGAGACCCCATCTCAAAAAAGTGTTTAATTAATATACTTGTGAGTGGTCTATTTGCATTTAAAACTGCTTTCTAGAATTAGGATAGCTCCCTTAGGTTTAATGTTTTGGTGAGCAGGAATATCAGTTACCCCTCCAGATCTTAATTCTAGTTTTTTATCACTTTTTCATGAGGTGATCTCATCCTCATCTCCTAGCATGTCTGGCAATTTTGATTTCTGAACTCTGTGCTACCTCAGAGGCCAGCTTCCTTAGGGAAAAATCAGTGCTGAAATAAAGTTATATTTCCTTTTCTGCTCTAAATATATAGTGGGGGAATAAGAGAAATGAAGAGGAATTCCTGAGAACGTAATTACTAGAAACTCCCCTCTCCCACGTAATGTCTCTCACACACCATGGACCCCTATTCCCCCAATTTGCGACCCCCCACCCCACCCCACAACAGGTGGTGATCTTTGTGAAGTCTGTGCAGCGGTGCATTGCCTTGGCCCAGCTACTAGTGGAGCAGAACTTCCCAGCCATTGCCATCCACCGTGGGATGCCCCAGGAGGAGAGGTGAGCTGAAGATGGGAAAGATATTTTGTGTCCTTGGGAGAAAAAGACAGTTGAGAGAAGGGAATCTCAACATGTTTTAAATTTCCTTTCTCACAAAGGCTTTCTCGGTATCAGCAGTTTAAAGATTTTCAACGACGAATTCTTGTGGCTACCAACCTATTTGGCCGAGGCATGGACATCGAGCGGGTGAACATTGCTTTTAATTATGACATGCCTGAGGATTCTGACACCTACCTGCATCGGGTAAACCTCACAGGCTGAAAAAATCCCACTCTCCCATTCCCTTGTTTTCTGTTTGTACATCTTCATTCCTGCCTCTGGGTCTCTTTCCTCTTCGGTCTTCCAGTGCTACCCTCTGTCTCCCTCCAGGTGGCCAGAGCAGGCCGGTTTGGCACCAAGGGCTTGGCTATCACATTTGTGTCCGATGAGAATGATGCCAAGATCCTCAATGATGTGCAGGATCGCTTTGAGGTCAATATTAGTGAGCTGCCTGATGAGATAGACATCTCCTCCTACAGTGAGTACTGATCTCATGAAACCCTTTAGGTCCTCCCTGTTCCTTAGTGTGTTTGTCCTAAATCCCATCACATAGGTCATGGGCATCTGATGCATAATGGACACTTGACTGGTTCATGCCCCCTGGTCTTTGATGCTGTGTTGGGATGTTTTTCTGACCTTTATGTGGGGTTTCTGTCTTCTCTCATCATATTACATCCCTTCCCTCACCCCCACGTCCGTCCTCTGAACCCAGGCAGTACACCAGTGTCTGCATGTGTGCCGTGTGTTCCTGCCTCACTTTCCCCTTTTCATGCCTTATTCTGACCATGCTACGTTTTCTTCTCAGTTGAACAGACACGGTAGAAGACTCGCCCATTTTGGAATGTGACCGTCTGTCCTTCAGGAGAGGACACCAGGGTGGGGGTGAAGGAGACACTACTGCCCCCACCCCTGACAGCCCCCACCCCATGGCTTCCATCTTTTGCATCACCACCACTCCTGAACCCCCATTTCTGATTTGTCAGAATTTTTTTTTAACAAAACTAAAAATGAAACACATGTGTCTGTGGTATCTATAAGTGCTTCGTCCCTTTATTGTATTTGGGGTGAGGTTATTTTAGGGCATGGTCCAGGGTGAATTCCTATAAGGCCTGGGTGCCCTGCCTGCTGTGAGATCAAAGGGGAATGGGACTAAGACTGCAGAGCCCTGGCTCCCCCACTGCCTGCCAATTGCCTGCGGTTTGTGGTCTCTTCCACTTTCTCTGGCCTGGGAAGACGCTGGGGTGTTTATGATCCCAAGGCTCCTGGTGGGTGGTGCGTGTATTTTCAGTGCCGGAGGGTGCTGTGGGCACTGGGGGAAACTTAGGCACCTCCTCCAAGGCTCTCTTGGTGCCTCCTCATCTGTTCCTTCAGCTTCTGGATCTTGAGCACCAGGGCTTGGGCCTCCCAGGCTCCCTCCTGCCCTTCAAGGAGGGCCTGGTACAGCTCCAGCTGCTGCTCCAACAACTCTTCAGCTCGGGCCAGCTCAGCTGTGCGGTGGGTCCCAGGGCCCTGGTCAGGGAATTAAGGGAGGGAGCATCAGCCAGGGCAGGGGGCCGAGGCCCTGGGAAGCTTTGTCGCAGGCTGTGGCTGGAAGTGAGAAATTCCACCTTCCCTATTCGTTTTTGAACCGGTCATTTAAGGACACCTGTACTGAGAAGGCCAGGTAGCTTCCTGTCTTGGGCATAGGCCTCTGGGTGGTAGTAGGGGGAGCAAATAGAGTTCCCTGGCCCAGGGGCTGTAACTGGCTTCCTTGAACAAGGATATGGGGTCACTGGAAAGAGGATCAGCCGCTCCTCCCCGCTAAGAAATAATTAACTGTTAGGTGAGGGGGAATAGATCCTGTTCAAGGACTTTGTGGACTGTGCTGTTGTGGGTGGGGGTGGGGTGAGGGAAGGGAACCCTGAGGTCTGGGCTGGGGGAGGTGGGGAGAGGAGTTGGTAGCTGAACTAAGAAAAGAGCTGCAGGGGTAGGCATGGTGTGGGGTGGTGCAGGGTGGGATTGAGGGTTTTTTTTTCCCACACCCCAGTGTAAATTCTCACACCCTCTGTTCCTACCTGTGGTGCCACTTACCCTGGGAGGGGACGTCATCTTCCCATTTCCTCTGGAGTTGGTCTGCTCTTCCATGCTTGCTTTGGGGTTTTGGGAGCAGCACCCATGGGAGCCCTGGGGTGCCAAGGACCAGGAGGGCAGAAGGAGGCGAAGGAAATGGTACCGAGAGAGCCAGGGCAGAGGGAGGACCATGGCGGGTGACCTGGCCGGGAGCTGTGTGAGCTGTCCAACGGCCACCAGGAACTGGTTCGCTCCAGGACTTGGCCTCACTTGAGTGCCTGGCCCTGCCCAGGCCCCAGCCCCCAGCCCTGCCCCTGCCCCTGCCCCACTCTGCCCCACGTCTCTCCCAGCCTGGCCCCAGACAGAGTCCAGGAACAACTCCTGTTCCTGATGTGAAAAATGTCCCTGCCAGTTTAGGCAGAACTTGCTTTAGAGCACTGGTGCCCAGCCTACCACAGGTCTGTGATTTTTTTTTTTTGATCTAGTGTTTATTAGGTATGAATTTTAGAAACATTACCGGTAGCTGTGGAGCTGGAGAGTATTGCACCTTCTCCAAGCTGCATGGCGAGAACCACCAATAGTGTGGTAGAACTTACAGCCCTTTCCAAGGCCGTGGCTCTCTTGGCCTGCAGATAGCCTACGCATCTCCCTATGCTTGTTGTGGACCACTGGGTGTCAGGTTTCCTTCTGATAGTGTTATGGAATGGATCAACTAGGATAGCCTCAAAAACTTTGTATGTGGAATCTTTAACCAGCCCAGTGAGAATTCAGGACTCAGAGCCCCACAGTGGCATCCAGCTTGCTCTTCTGTAACAGACTGAAGGCTTTAAGCAAACTAGCTGGTTAACACCATGATAGACAGGCTTGCTGTTAAGTTGCCTTCTTAGGAACTAGATTTTCAGCCACCGTGGCGCTTATATGTAACATAACCTTGCTTGGCTGTAGCCCAGTAGCGTGCTTTATTGGGCTGGGTGGGGCGGGGATCCCTGTGGAGAGCAGAGAGCTGGTGGTACTGCCAGCAGCGGACCCTCAGAAGAAAGCTCATGACATCAGACTGCTTCTTCCATAGCTTCTGGATGTACTTGTATGCACCATCTTGGTTTACCCAGTGGCTGCTGCCAGACAGAAAGGAAAGGCTACCACAGGTCTTGTGTCTTTTTTTTTTTTTTTTTTTGAGACGGAGTCTCGCTCTGTTGCCCAGGCTGGAGTGCAGTGGCGCAATCTGGGCTCACTGCAAGCTCTGCCTCCCGGGTTCACGCCATTCTCCTGCCTCACCCTCCCGAGTAGCTGGGACTACAGGTGCTCGCCACTACGCCCGGCTAATTTTTTGTATTTTTAGTGGAGACGGGGTTTCACCGTATTAGCCAGGGTGGTCTCGATCTCCTGACCTCGTGATCCGCCCGTCTTGGCCTCCCAAAGTGCTGGGATTACAGGCGTGAGCCACCGCACCCGGCATGCCTTTTTCTTAACACTGTTTTCTCACTTCACTCTGCAAGGTAGGAATTACCTCACTGGTTTGCACCTGAGGAAACTGGCTCAGATGGTTTCATTCAGCATTCACTGGGGAAGTGTCTGTTGGGGGCAGCTCTAGGCTGGATGTGCTCGAAGGTCCACAGCTGGTTGTTGGTAGGGCCTGGAGGGTTCATGTCTAGGTCCACCTGACTTGAAAGCTCATCCTGACCTTGCTTAAGTGCTGATTCCCCTTTGCAGATGTACCTTTTATTGTGCTTCCCTTTATTGCTCTTTGCAGATGCTGTTTTTTATTTAGAGATTGGAGGCTTGTGGCAACCCTGTGTCAAGCACATCAAACAGGTCTATTGGTGCTATTTTCCCAACAGCAGGCAGACATCATGTCTCCATGTCACGCTGTGGAATTCTCAAAATGTTTCAAGCGTTTTCATTATTATACTTGTTACAGTGACCTGTAATCAGTTACTGAAGTTAACTATTGTGATTGTTTTGGGACACCATGAGCGATGCTCATATAAGACAGCAAACTTAATGGAAAAATGTGTGTGTTGTGACTGCTTCACCAACTGGCCATTCTCCCGACTCTGCTTTCCAGGCCTCCCTATTCCCTGAGGCACAACAATATTGAAAGGAATAATCCATGCGGCAAATGGCAAACATCATTGTCTTATTTTAAGAAGTTGTCAAAGCAGCCTTCAGCAGCCATGCCCCTGATCCATGGAGGCAAGACCCTCCCCCAGCAAAAAGATCAGGATTAGCTGAAGCCTCATATGATTGTTAGCATTTGTTTAGCAATTAAGTATTTTAAAATTAAAGTATATGGCCAGATACAGTGGCTCACGCCTGTAATCCCAGCACTTTGGGAGGCCGAGGTGGGTGGATCACTTGAGGTCAGGAGTTCAAGATTAGCCTGGCCAACATGGTGAAACCTCATCTCTACTAAAAATACAAAAATTAGCTGGGCATGGTGATGGGCACCTGTAGTCCCAGCTACTTGGGAGGCTGAGCAGGAGAATGGCTTGAACTCAGGAGGCGGAGGTTGCAGTGAGCCAAAATCGTGGCACTGCACTCCAGCCTGGGTGACAGAGCGAGACTCCATTAAGTATATACACAGTTTTTTGTACACAATGCTACTGTACACTTAACAGACTACAATATAGTACAAACATAACTTTTATGCACAATAGGAAACTAAAAAGTTTGTGTGACTCACTTTGTTGCTATGGTCTGGAAACAAATCTTCAGTATCTCCGAGGTATGCCTGTCATTTCCCTTTCCCTCTTCTTGCTGGCCCAGAATGACCTTGTTTCTTGCCCCTGTCTAGCCCTGCATGCTGTAGGGGTTTGCCTTCTCTGGTAGGTCTGGGCACTTTGTATCCCTTGTAACCTTGGCTCCTGGGATATGACACTGGTACAACTGGCCTCAAGTTCTGTTGGACTAGTGAGCCTCCCCCAACACCTCCTGAAGTAGAACCAAAGGCCTGTGCACACACCGTGCATGTGTGAGTCTGCATAGAGATGTCAGCTTCCTGCAGGGTGTTCTGAAGGGATGTCCTGTTGTGACTGGACTGTGACATAGCCACAGGCCCAGAGGCAGGAGTGGCTCAGAAGGGAGTGGCTGGTCCCAATTTTGATCATCTAGGAACAGGAAGGTCCTTAGAAAACCATGCCCCAGAAGGCAGGATTGCTGGAGAGTGGACAGCTGCTAGCCAGCTCGCTATCTGGATATCACTCTGCATTGGGAGGGAAGATGGCCTCTGCCATGGTGTAAGAGTCCAGGAACCAGGCAGTGAGGACTTCCCAGCGGTCAGTGCTTCTCACACTTGCGGGCCAAAGCACCTTTAGATGAGGCCAAAGACTTTACGTTCCTCATTAGCTGACTTTTTCCCACTTAAGTGGAAAAAGAACCCAGAACCTTTGTAAAAGTTTTAGGGGAGAAGGGCTTTCCCTCTTGTATCTTGGTGATAAGGTTATGCATGACTCATACTTTAATTGCAATGTGTACACAGCTAAAGTCTTAATTATTAGAATATAAGAGCCCCAAACTACTGTTATTATAGATAAGCGAAACTATGCAGTATATGGTTAAACAATCCACAACTAATTAACATTGAAAGTTGGCCGGGCGCAGTGGCTCATGCTTGTAATCCCGGCACTTTGGGAGGCCGAGGCAGGGGGATCACTTAAGGTCAGGAGTTCAAGACTAGCCTGGCGAACATGATGAAACCCCGTCTCTACTAAAAATACAAAAAATTAGCTAAGCGTGGTGGTAGCCACCTGTAATCCCAGCTACTTGTGAGGCTGAGGCAGGAGAATTGCTTGAACCTGGGAGGCGGAGGTTGCAGTGAGCTGAGATTGTGCCACTGCACTCCAGCCTGGGCGACAGAGCAAGACTCCGTCTCTCAAAAAAAAAAAAAAAAAAAAAAAAAGAAAAGAAAAAAAATTAACTACATTTTTGGGAGGTGGACAGAGCAATGCTCTGTCACCCAGGCTGGAGTGCAATGGCACAATCTCTGCTTGCTGGAACCTCCGATTGCCGGGTTCAAGCAATTCTTATGCCTCTGCCTCCCAAGAAGCTGGGATTACAGACGTGTGCCACTATGCCGAGCTAATTTTTGTATTTTTAGTACAGACAGGGTTTCACCATGTTGGCCAGGCTGGTCTTGAACACCTGGCCTCAAGTGATCCGACTGCCTCAGCCTCCCAGAGTGCTGGGATTACAGGTGTGAACCACCGTGCCTGGCCCTCTATCTGTTAATTTAAAAGATTAGCAGCCATTTAGAAAAAACAACAAATGAGACTTTTGCAAGACAATCTAAATGATACACTAATAACAATCCTTTGGGAAAGTGACATTTCAACCATGTGAGTTTCTGCTTTAGGTTATGAACTCCAAAATGGACTAAATGGACTAACCCCCAATAATTTATAGTAGCTAGTTTTTTTTTTTTTCACAGTAGGTAATTCTAAACCATAAATAAAATAGAATCTGAATTTTGGCTTTGTTCACCTGTGGGAACTTAATTAAGAAAGCACTGGCCTTTGGGTCGGTTCAAATATAGTGGATGAGGCCAGGCGCAGTGGCTCACACCTGTAATCTCAGCACTTTGGGAGGCCGAGGCGGGCGGATCATGAGGTCAAGAGATCGAGACCATCCTGGCCAACATGGTGAAACCCCGTCTCTACTAAAAATACAAAAATTAGCCAGGCATGGTGGTGCACGCCTGTAGTCCCAGCCACTCGGGAGGCTGAGGCAGGAGAATCACTTGAACCCGGGAGCCAGAGGTTACAGTGAGCTGAGATCATGCCACTGCACTCCAGCCTGGCGACAGAGCGAGACTCTTGTCTCAAAAAACAAAAAACAAAACCAAAAAGAAAGAAAACCAAATATAGTGGATAATCGTGGATCTCATAATTGTAGAAATGAAGGAATTAAGCTAAAAAAATACATAAACCAGAATACCTAGTGCTAAAGTTGAATGTCCCCACCAAAACTCGTGTTGACATTTAATTGCTATCCTAATGGTATTAAGATGCAAGACTTTTTTTTTTCTTTTTTTGAGATGGAGTTTCGCTCTTGTTGCCCAGGCTGGAGTGCAATGGCACAATCTCAGCTCACTGCAACCTCCGCCTCCCATGTTCAAGTGATTCTCCTGTCTCAGCCTCCTGAGTAGCTGGAATTACAGGCACATGCCACCACGCCCAGCTAATTTTTGTATTTTTAGTAGAGACGGGGTTTCATCATATTGGTCAGGCTGGTCTTGAACTCCTGACCTCAGGTGATCCACCTGCCTTGGCCTCCCAAAGTGCTGGGATTACAGGCATGAGCCACCGTGCCCAGCCGATGTGGGACCTTTCAGGGTTGATTAGATTGAATAGATTAATGCCATTGTATGGCATGATAGAAATCAGTTCAGCCTCTTTGCCCTTCCACCTCTCACTATGGGATGATACTGCAGCCAGGCCCTCATAAGATGCCAGTGTCATGCTCTTGGACTTCTCAGCCTCCAGCTCTGTGGGAAAAACATTTATTTTCTTTATAAATTACCCAGTCTGTGCTGGGTGTGGTGGCTCAAGCCTGTAATCCCAGCACTTTGGGAGGCCAAGGTGGGTGGAAGGCTTGAGCCCAGGAGTTTGAGACCAGCCTGGGCAACATGGCAAAACCCATCTCTACAAAAAAACACAAAAATTAGCTGGTGTGGTCGTGCGGGTCTGTGGTCCCAGTTATTTAGGAGGCTGAGGTGGGAGGATCACTTGAGTCTGGGAGGTGGAGGTTGCAGTGAGTCGAGATCATGCCACTGCACTCCAGTCTGAGCGACAGAGAGAGACCCTGTCTGAAAAAACAACAAAATAAATTACCCAGTCTGTATTATTCTGTTATAGCGGCAGGAAACGGACTAAGACACATAGATTATGTTACTGTGTTTATTTATTTATTGTTGTTTTTGTTATTCCTGACTCTTAATATAGAGTCTTAATCAGATGAGCATTCTGGCCTGGCCTCCGCAGAAGGGGCCTGTCTTTAGCCACGGACAAGAGGAGATTAAGGCCAGCATCATCCACAAGGTCAAGGGGCTGCAGAGCCCCCTAAGGCCAGTGTGCTGATGGGCCCCTCAATATTGTATCCTACCCAGTGGATTGGCAGGACTGGGTGACTGACAGGAATCATTGTTGCCTCTATGGGAAAGTCTTATGGAGATGGGGGCTGAGGGATGTTGAAGTTTAGCCATTACATTACAGTGAGAGAGATTACATTACTAAGTGTCAGAGACCCTTCTGGGCACTTTCTGTTACTGTCACAGGTGGCTTTCACAGTAACCTTTTAAGAGAGCTCTTTTCATTTTTCTTGTACATGGCTGTCCAGTTGTTCCAGCAGCATTTGCTGAAAAGACTATCTTTATTGTATTGTCTTTGCTCCTTGTATTTATGTGGGACTATTTCTTGGCTCTCTATTCTGCTCAAGTGGATCAATTTGTCTATTCTTTGCCAATGCCACTCTGTCTTTCTAAAATTAATTTTTCGATTGACTAATTTTATACATTTGTGGTGTACATCATGTTTATATATATATGCACATACATACACACACATTGTGGAATGGATAAACCAAACAATTTAATAATATGTATATTACCTCACATACATATTTTGTGTGTATGTGATGAGAATGCTTAAAGCTATTCTCATACTATTTTGAAATACACAATATGTTGTTATTAAGTTTAGTCACCATAAGGTACAATAGATCTCTTGAACTTATTCTTCCTAACTGAAATCTTGTGTTCTTTGACTAACATCTCCCCAATTCCCCGACCTCCCAGCCTCTGATAACCACCAGTTTACTCTCTATTTATGAGTCTGGCTTTTTCTATACTCCACATATAAGTGAGATTGTATTTGTCTTTCTGTGCCTGGCTTATTTCACTTAACATAATGTCTTCCAGGTTCATCCATGTTGTCACAAATGACAGGATTTTGTTTTTTAAGGCTGAATAGTATTCCATTTTTTATATATACCACATTTTCTTTATCCATTCATCCATTGATGGACACTTAGGTGGATTCTATATCTTGGCTATTGAGAATAATGCTGCAGCCAGGTGCAGTGTCTCGTGCTTATAATCCCAGATAATTGGGAAGCTGAGACAGCAGGATCGCTTGAGGCCAGGAGTTGCCCTGGGCAACATAGACTCTATCTCTAAAGGAAAAAAAAAAAAAAAAAGAATAATGATGCAATGAATATGGGAGTGCAAATATCTCAACGTACTGATTTCATATCCTTTGGATATATACCCATTAGTGGGATTGCTGGATCATGTGGTATTTCTATTTTTAAAATTTTTGCAGAACCTCCATACCGTTTCCCACAATGGCTATGCTAATCACCACTCTGTCTTGATTACTATGGCTTTATAGAAAGTCTAAGTCAGGTAGTGGTGGTCTTTGACTTTATTTTTCTCCTATATTGTGCTGGCTAGGTCTTTTGCCTCACCATATAAAGTTTGAATCAGTTTGTTAATATCCACAAAATAACTTACTGAGGTTTTTTATTGAGATTGCATTCATTCCACAGATCAAGTTGGAAAGAACAGATATATTAACAGTATTGAGCCTTCCTGACTATGAACATGGAATATCTCTCCATTTGTTTAGTTCTTTGATTTCTTTTGTCAGTTTTGTAGTTTTGTTCATATAGATCTTGTACATATTTTCTTAGATTTGTACCTAAGTGTTTCATTTTTGGGGGTGCTAATGTAAGTGGTATTGTGTTTTAAATGGCAAATTCTGGACCAGGCACGGTGGCTCACGCCTGTAATCCCAGCACTTTGGGAGGCTGAGGCAGGCAGAACATGAGGTCAGAAGTTCGAGATCAGCCTGGCCAACATGGTAAAACCCCGTCTCTACTAAAAATACAAAAATTAGCTGGGCATGGTGGGGCACACCTGTAATCCCAGCTACTCAGGAGGCTGAGGCAGGAGAATTGCTTGAACCTGGGAGGAGGAGGTTGCAGTGAGTTGAGATCGCGCCACTGCACTCTAGCCTGGGCGACAGAACAAGACTCCGTCTTGAAAAAAAAAAAATTAAATGGCGAATTCTACATGCTCATTGCTGATACATAGAAAAGTGATTGGCTTTTACATATTAACTTTATATCCTGCAACCTTGCTATAATTGCTTGTTAGTTCCAGGAGTTTTTTATGTGTGGATTCTTTTTGATTTTCTACATAGACAATCATATCGTCTGTAAACAAAGACAGTTTTATTTCTTGTTCCAAATTTGTATACCTTTTAGTTCCTTTTCTTGTCTTACTACTTTAGCTAGGACTTCCAGTACAACGTTGAAAAGCTGTGTTGAGAGGGTCATTCCTGCCTTGTTCTGATCTTAGCAGGCAAGCTTTTAGTTTCTCACCATTAAGTGTGATGTTAGCTGTGGAAGTTTTGTGGATGTTGTTTATCAAGTTGAGTAAGGTCTTCTCTATTCCTAGCTTGCTAAGAGATTTTTTTTTTTTTAATCATCATGAATGGGTGTTGGATGTTGTCAATTGCTTTTTCTGCCTCTATTGATATGATCATGTGATTTTCTTCTTTAGCCAGTTGATTTAATGGATTACATTAACTGATTTTCCAATGTTGAAGTAACTTTGCATACCTGGGATAAATCTTACTTAGGCATGGTGTATTGTTCTTCTCATACATTGTGGATTTGATTTGCTAGCATTTTGCTGAGGATTTTTGCACCTATGTTCATTAGAGATATTGGTCTGTGGTTTTCTTTTTTTGTGAAGTCTTCATCTGATTTTGGTATTTGGCTAACGCTGGCCTCATGGAATTAGTTAGAAAGTATTCCCTCATGGAATCCCGGCCTCATGAAATGAGATAGAAAGTGTCTGTCTTGGCTTTGCAGACGCCACCATCAGGAGCCCCATACTATCAGCCATGGTCAACCCCACCGTGTCCTTCAACATCGCTGTCAATGGTGAGCCCTTGGGCTGTGTCTCCTTCAAGCTGTTTGCAGACAAGTTTCCAAAGACAGCAGAAAACTTTCGTGCTCTGAGCACTGGAGAGAAAGGATTTGATTATAAATGTTCCTCCTTTCACAGAATTATTCCAGGGTTTATGTGTCAGGGTGGTGACTTCACACGCCATAATGGCACTGGTGGCAAGTCCATCTACGGGGAGAAATTTGATGATGAGAACTTCATCCTAAAGCATACAGGTCCTGGCATCTTGTCCATGGCAAATGCTGGACCCAACACAAATGATTCCCGGTTTTTCTTTTTTCTCTTTTTTTTGAGATGGAGTCTTAACTCTGTCGCCCAGGCTGGAGTGCAGTGGCGCGATCTTGGCTCACTGCAACTTCCGCCTCCCAGGTTCAAGCAATTCTCCTGCCTCAGCCTCCTGAGTAGCTGGGATTACAGGCATGCGCCACCATGCCTGGCTAATATTTGTATTTTTATTAGAGACGGGGTTTCACCATGTTGGTCAGGCTGGTCTTGAACTCCTGACCTCAGGTGATCTGCCCATCTCGGCCTCCCAAAGTGCTGGGATTACGGCATGAGCCACCTAGCCCGGGCAATTCCCAGTTTTTCATCTGCACTGCCAAGACTGAGTGGTTGGATGGCAAGCCCATGGTCTTTGGCAAGGTGAAAGATGGCATGAATATTGTGGAGGCCATGGAGCACTTCGGGTCTGGGAATGGCAAGACCATCAAGAAGATCACCATCGCTGACTGTACACAACTTGACTAAGTTTGACTTGTGTTTTTTTTTTGAGACTGAGTTTCACTCTTGTTGCCAGGCTGGAGTGCAATGGCGCCATCTCGGCTCACTGCAACCTCTGCTTCCTGAGTTCAGGCGATTCTCCTGCCTCAGCCTCCCGAGTAGCTGGGATTACAGGCATGCGCCACCACACCTGGCTAATTCTGTATTTTTAGTAGAGACGGGGTTTCTCCGTGTTGGTCAGGCTGGTCTTGAACTCCTGACCTCAGGTGATCCCACCTGCGTCAGCCTCCCAAAGTGCTGGAATTACAGGTGTGAGCCACCGCGCCCGGCCTGACTTGTGTTTTATCTTAACCACTAGACCATTGCTTCTGTAGCTCAGGAGAGCACCCTCCATCCATCTGCTCGCAGTATCTAGAATCTTTGTGCTCTCACTGCAGTTCCCTTTGGGTTTCATGTTTTCCTTGTTCCCTTCCATGCCTAGCTGGATTGCAGCATTAAGTTTATGATTATGAAATTAACACTGAATAACAACAACAACAAAAGAAAGTATGTCTTCTGGAAGAGATTATAGAAAATTGGTATAATTTTTTCCTTAAATGTTTGATAGAATTTATCAGTAAACCCATTTGGGGCTGATGTTTTCTGTTTCTGAATGTTATTAATTATCGATTTAATTTATTTAATATATGTCTATTCATTTCATTTTTTAAATTAATTTTTTTTATAAGACAAGGTCTCACTATGTTGCCCAGGCTTCTCTCAAACTCCTGGGCTTAAATTGGCCTCCCAAAGGGCTGGGATTACAGGCATGAGCTACTGTACCTAGCTTCATTTCACTTTTAGTTAAATTTGTTTTGAATAATAATAGATTTAACTTTGGGAGGCCGAGGCGGACAGATCACCTGAGGTCGGGAGTTCGAGACCACCCTGGCCAACATGGCGAAACCCCATCTCTACTAAAAATACAAAAACTAGCCGAGCGTGGTGACGGGTGCCTGGAATCCCAGCTACTGGGGAGGCTGAGGCAGGGCAATTGCTTGAACCCAGGAGGTGGAGGTTGCAGTGAGCTGAGATCGCGCCATTGCACTCCAGCCTGGGCGACAGAGCGAGACTCCATCTCAAAAAAAAACAAAAACAAAACAAACAAAAAAACCCAATAACAATAACAATAATAGATTTAAAGAGTTGCAAAGCTAGAACACAGAGTTTCCATAAACCCCAGCTTTCCTTAATGTTAACATCTAACAAAATTCTGTCAAGACTAAGAAACTAAGAAATTAACATTGCTATAATACTATTCGCTAAACTGTAGACTTTATTTGGACTTCACCAGTTTTTCCAGGGCCCATTAATGCATTTAGCTTTTGGGTCTCCCTAGTCTTTCTGATCATGAGTTTCTCAGTCTTTACCTGTTTTCATGACCTTGAAAGTTTTGAAGAATACTGGATAGATAATTTGTAGGATGTCCCTCACTTTGGGTTTGCCTGATGCTTCCTTATGATTAGATTGGGGTTATGGGTTTAAGGGAAGAATACCATAGAGGGGAGTGTCCTCATCACATCATTTCTGGGGGGCAAGATGTTAACATGACTCTGATTGCTTGGTAGTGTCTGCTACATTTCTCCACTGTAAAGTTATTATTTTTCCTTTTTCATACTCTAGTCTTTGGAAGCAAGTCAGCAAGTCCAGCCCATATTCAAGGTGAGAGAAATAAAATTCCAATCTCCTGGGAAAGAGATTCTCGTAATATATGTTTTGAAATTCTTCTGTAAGGAAGATTTGCCCCTTCTTCCCTATTTATTTATTTAATTATTTTTGATTAAATAAATCAGTGTGGAATGAATATTTATTTATATTTTGGGTCATAATCCAATACTATTGTAACTTTGTTGCTCGGATTATTCCGGCTTTGTCCATAGGGAGCTCTTTCAGGTTGACTCCTGTGTCCCTCTGACATGCCCTTATTTTTTGGTGGTGAGGGTTGGGAGATGGGTGGCGGTTACTTTCTGGCATTACAAGATGTTCCAGGCTCACCTTATATTTTTCCTATGCCAGCCCTAGAATCAGCTGTTTTTCTATGGAGCCCTGAATCCTTTTATCAGAGAATGACTTATCACAACCAAGGTCTAGGCACTGGGTGCTCACTTCACTCTTCTAAGGAGGACACAGAGGTCTCAAGACCTGTGTGAACTCACACAGGCACATAAATGGCTCTCACTTCAGCACCACTTTAGAGCTGATTCAGCTGGGCATGGTGGCTCATGCCTGTAATCCCAGAACTTTGGCAGGCTGAGGCAGGCGGATCACCTGAGGTCAGGAGTTTGAGACCAGCCTGGCCAACATGGCGAAACCTCGTCTCTGCTGAAAAATACAAAAATTAGCTGGGCATGGTGGCGCATGCCTGTAATCCCAGCTACTTGGGAGCCTGAGACAGGAGAATTGCTTGAGTCGGGGAGGCAGAGGTTGCAGTGAGCTGAGATCATGCCACTGCACTCCAGCCTGGGCGACAGAGCAAGACTCCGTCTCAAAAAAAGAAAAAAAAAAAAAAAAAGAGAAAGAAAAAAAGAGCTGATTCAGCTCAGACTTTGACTTCCCCGAGTTGATGAGCAATTTTCCATGCAGGTCTTTATTTCTTAAAGCTTCTGTTTTTCAGTATGCAGGGCTTAGGCACTAGTAATTTTATTCCCTAATATTTGGAGACTTTCCTAAAATAAACATTTTACATTTTGGTAACATGATTCACTTAGAGAATTGACCAGAATAGACAAGAGGAAGAAGCCGGTGGAGGGAGGAGGCACATTGTTCTTTCCTGTGGAGTATTTCCCAATTCCTGCTGCTCTTTCCACATCCCTGGGCCTGGGAGAAGGATGGCACCCTTGGACCATGACAGAAAAATGGTGATTTGGAAATACCTGCCTCTTCTGTCTCCCTACCCTTCCATTTCAGTGCCCATTCTCCCTCCCAACCCATGGCCCATGAGCTTTTCCTTCTCCTAGCCTCTCACCTAGTGCTGGCTCCTCAGAGGGAAGTGAACCATCACCCCCTGGAGGGTGGAACTGGGGAGAGAGAGGCCAGAGCCTGGGGCTGGGGCAGAAGCTGCAGCAGGAAGGAAGGAGGTTAGAGAGACAGATGAGGGGTGAGATGTGAGTGCTCAGAGGGAGAATGAGGACATCCCCAGCATCTCCATAGAGGAGGGAGGAAGGGGCCTTGGGTGCTGGGGCAGAGAGGGGGGCAGGATCTGGATGGGACGCCCCACCCTCAGCCTCTGGTCCTCTGACAACACCTCACCTAGTCACACTGAGGGGCTTCTCCAGGCCCAGGAGCACCTGCAGGCAGGTGTATCTCAGGCCTTCTCTGGGAGGGCCCCCCACAGCTGCCCAGCCCTGATATGTCTCATCTTCCTGGGTCTGGTCCCCTTGAGTCTTGAGTCCAGAGTTGGCTCCTCCCCTTCCTGCAGCCAGGTCAGAGTGATGTTGGCAAGTGAGAAGCCAGGTGCTCTACATGGCAAGGTGTGGTTGCCCTCAGGGTCCTCCTTGTCAGGGACCACAACTTTGGGGAAGTCGGGGAGGCACCGGATGCAGGAGATAGAGAACAGAGAGGTGGAGTGAGAGTGGGACACACTTCAGCCTCCCCTCCTCTCCTAGTCTTCCTCCACATGCCAGTGCCTTTCCCTCCCCAACTCCAGCACTTCTAACAGCCACAGCAGGAAGGGGAGACCCAAATCCCCATCACTCTCTGCCACAGTCTCTGTGAGTGTGGCCACCTCCATTTCCACTGCAGCTTTAGGGTCTGCCCCAGAGCAGAGTCCTGGGTATGCTTAGAGCGGGATACTGGAAGGTTCTTCCTTCAAATATCTGCATGGCTGTGTCTCTCCTTCTCAAGTCTGCTCACATGGCTCCTCCAAGAGGCCTACCCTGACCACCTGCCTCGGCCTCCCAAAGTGCTGGGATTACAGGCGTGAGCCACCACGCCCGGCCATTGTCCTGGCTCAATCTGATCAGGAATTCTTTTTTACTTTTTTCTTTTTGATTTTTTAGGTTCAAGGGATACATATTCAGGTTTGTTACATGGGTAAATTGTGTATCACGGGTGTTTGGTGTGCAGATAATTTTGTTACTCAGGTAATCAGCACAATACCCAATAGGCAGTTTTTTAATCCTCCCCCTCCTCCCACCCTCCACCCTCAAGGAGGCCCCAGTGTCTATTGTTCCCTTCTTTGTGTCCATGTGTACTCAATGTTTAGCTGCCACTTATAGGTGAGAATATGTGGTATTTGGCTTTCTGTTCCTACATTAATTTGCTTAGAATAATGGTCTCCACCTCCATCCATGTTGCTGTGAAGGACATGATTTCGTTCTTGTTTTTTGGCTGGGTAGCGTACCATGGTGTATAAGTGCTGCAGTTTTCTTTTCTTTTCTTTTCTTTTTTTTTTTGAGACGGAGTCTCATTCTGTCACCCAGGCTGGAGTGCAGTGGCGTGATCTCGGCTCACTGCAAACTCCACCTCCTGGGTTCATGCCATTCTCCTGCCTCAGCCTCCCGAGTAGCTGGGACTACAGGTGCCCGCCACCACACCCGGCTAATTTTTTGTATTTTTAGTAGAGACGGGGTTTCACTGTGTTAGCCAGGATGGTCTCGAACTCCTGACTTCGTGATCTGCCCGCCTCACCCTCCCAAAGTGCTGGGATTACAGGCGTGAGCCACCACGCCTGGCCCTGTGCCGCAGTTTTCTTTATCCATTCCACTGTTGATGGGCATCTGGGTTGATTCCTTACCTTTGCTATTGTGAATAGTGCTGCACTGATCACAAATTCTTAAAAGTGGAGATAACTGAAGAAATGTAGGTCAGGTGTAGTGTTAGATTTCATCTACAGTGATTTCTACATCTAGTGAAATATGATTGTCTCTTTTTAAATTATTGAATTAAGTGTTAAAATGCATTAAAAGATTTAAAGTTTAAATATTCTTTTATTCTTGGGATTCATAACTTGGTCAAGATATTTAATTTGTTTATAGCACACTGATGGACACAGTCTACTATTTTTCTCATCTATTTTACATCTAATTACTAATAGTGATTTTCCCATCTTGTTTCTTTATTATTTGTTCCCTAACTGGCTTTAGAATTAACACTATTCATAGCTGATAAAGTGAGTTGCCTAGCTTTCTGTATTTTGCTCCATTCTCTTGAATATTTTAAATAAGTCCAATAACCTTCTTTGAAGGTTTAGTAGGACTTCCCTGTGAAACAATCTGTATATAGTTGGGCAGAGATAGAATTTTTACAACTGTTTTAACTTCTTACTTGCAGTAAGTCTTTTCCATCGACATTTTTTTTTTTATAATTTCAAGATTGTTTACATCTCTACTATAGCTGCAGTGGCATATTTATCTGTCATAACACTGTCTTGCTCTTAATTAACATTGTCTGTTTTTTTTCTCTGTTCAAAGAAACAGCTGCTTTTGGCAGGCTGGGTCCTCAGCAGTGGCAGCTGCCAGGTCAGCCTTGGTGAGTGGTGACTCAATTGCTCTGTCCATGCAGTGTCCATCCCAGCCACCACGGCCACTTTGTGCAGGGACTCATGAGCAAGCCTTGTGCGGCTGAGTGGCATCATCCATCAAGCCATCTCGCTCACCTGGTTACAGGGAGCCCCAGCCCCTTGGAGACCCTCTGGCAGGCATCCATATGCAACCTCTATCTTCACATGCTCTTCCCATGGAAAGTGGTCAGTGCACACTTCTCTCTTCCATCCCCCAATTTTCCAACTTTATTTTCCCCAAGTTCCAGACTGGCCAGGCAACCCATGAGTCACTGCCCTTGATTCATTCATTCATGCACTACTGGGGCATAATTTCTACCCTCTACCTCCTGTGGTCTTGTTTGGGTTTTGATTCCTAGTTCCTGGCTCGACAGCCCTTTCCAAAGCTGTTCTGGTGTCAGCTCCCAAGCCTACTGCTCTTGTAGATTCTCCTTTTTATATCTGAGTCACGGGCATTTATTTCCTGGAATTAAAAAAAAAATTCACTGGTATTTTCAATGCAGCATTTCTAAGGACTTGGAGTAGGAGAAATTCTATATTAGCTTAGAGAGAATTGTTTCAAAACACCAGAAATGTAAACTTGAATGAAGGACAACATGCATGGAGAAAGGTGGACAAATCACAGGTGGGCAGTGGGTTTTGCCCAAGTAAAAACTCAGATAAACAACACCTTCATCAAGCAACATCATTTTCACCCTCCAAGAAACACCGTTGAGTCATAAACCAGCCTCCCCCACCCTAGAGTAGCCACTGTCTTGATTTTTAACACTGTAGATGAGTTCTGTTGGTTCTGATTGAATGAAATTAGAAGTTGTTTTCATGTAGTCGGGCTCATCATCTTTGCTGGGCTCATCATCTTGCTGTGTGTGGTTATAGCCGATTCTCTCCCATGGCCGTCAAGTGCTCCACTTTATTTATTTATTTATTTTGAGACGGAGTTTCACTCTTGATGCCCAGGCTGGAGTGCAATGGCGCCATCTCGGCTCACTGCAACCTCCGCCTTCCCGGTTTAAGCAATTCTCCTACTTCCGCCTCCCGAGTAGCTGGGATTACAGGCATGCGCCACCACTCCCGGCTAATTTTGTGTTTTTAGTAGAGACACAGTTTCTTCATGTTGGTCAGGATGGTCTTGAACTCCCGACCTCAGGTGATCCACCAGCCTCGGCCTCCCAAAGTGCTGGGATTACAGGCGTAAGTCACCGCATCCAGCCAAGGGTAAATCTCTTATTTTAGAAATTATTCAGCTAGTGAATGGGGAAGGAATGAGAGACTGAGACTATAATTCTTTTGCAACCCATAACGAATTAACAGATTTAGCCATTGAAAAGCAATGGCAATTAAAAGTAGAGTAAAAGTAAATAACCAGTACTAAGTTCTTCCTCCTGATGGAAGAATACAATGGAGTGCCATAAATGAAGTATTCAAGAAGAAAATCAAGTCAGTCTATAAGCAAATCTCTGTAGCCAACTACCAATTTATAGAAAGTACAGATAAAACAGGTCCATATTAAACTATGCCTTGGGGTGGAGCCAGCAAAATGCAAACTATGGAAAACTCAGCCAGACAATAAAATTTCAAGGAGGAGCATAGAGAAAAAAAGAGAACAGGCCAGGTGCGGTGGCTCACGCCTGTAATCCCAGCACTTTGGGAGGCCGAGGCAGGCAGATCATGAGGTCAGGAGATTGAGACCATCCTGGCTAACATGGTGAAACCCTGTCTCTACTAAAAATACAAAAAAATTAGCCGGGCGTGGTGGCAGACGCCTGTAGTCCCAGCTACTCGGGAGGCTGAGGCAGGAGAATCGCATGAACCCGTGAGGCGGAGCTTGCAGTGAGCCGAGATCATGCCACTGCACTCCAGCCTGGGTGACAGAGTGAGACTCCGTCTTAAAAAAAAAAAAGAAAAAAGAGAACAAAAATTATACATCCCAAGGTAAAACTAAACTACAATTTCAGAGGATGAAAATATAAAATAGAACAAAGAAGCAATCATCATAAAGGTCAGGCTGTGATTTTATGTGGGGAAGGGAAGCCTTTATCACTGAGCTGGGGCAAATGATGGTTTCTGGGCTGGCTGACAAACTTCTATATCTCTGGTGGTTAAAGGGTGTTTATCTTTTATTATTATTATTTATTATTATTATTAAAGGGCAACATTTTCAGACAGTTTTTCTTTTTGGGTACCTGTTTTATTTTATGGCAAAAAGCTAATGAAGAATAAAATAATTTATAGGTCATGATTACTGTTTTGCAGAAAGCCTACTCTCCACACCCCTCTCCAGACACTGAGCTCCCAAAACAAGTGGCAGCACCAGGACCCCCTGGCAGGGCCACCTCACTTCTGGGTGTGTTCATGTCACTGGAGGCAATGTCCCAGGTCTATTCCTTGATGCCTGGAAGAACCTGATAGGAGACAGTTGAGGGGAAGCCTTCTCTGTCACCTGCAGGTTCTTGGCTGTCACTGTAGAGGGAGCGGGTCCTCACTTCTCCCACAGGCCGGATCACAGCCAGAACCTCCTCCCTGCATGGGGAGTGAGGCTTGATCCTTTCCCTGAATACAGTGACAGAGATCTCTGTGTCATCACATGAAGGCTCCAACTCTTCAGGGCAGATGTTCCCTCACAGAGTCAGCCCCTGAATATTGGCGCCAGATGTCCCACCTCCATCCCTTCCCAGTCCTTTCTGTTCTGCTGTGAATCTGTCAGTCATTGGGAACTAGCAGGGAAAGGGAACAAGGAGGGGAGATTGCTTTGATGCTGGGTCAAGGCATTGAGACAGACCTCTCCTTCTCCCTGAACCTCACACTTTATCCGCTCCCAGACGCATGAAATAAAACACAGACCAGAAATGTCTATTTAAAGAGTAAACATTTACGGTATAAATTATGCACACATAATAGTAGACACAGAGTAATGCATAACGGTGTGACGGGGCGAGGGGACCTCAAGGTGACAAGAAAGCTGGTCCTGGGCTGGTCAGGAGGAGTCATCACCAAGATACTCACTCATAAAGTTCACCCATGATAATCTAATTACTGCACATGTAATATATTAAAATATATTAAAACATAAGAAAATAGGACAGGCATGGTGGCTAATATAATAAAATATATTACAATATAATAAAATAGGCCAGGCACGGTGGCTCATTCTTGTAATCCCAGCACTTTGGGATGCCAAGGCAGGCAGATCACCTGAGGTCAGGAGTTTGAAACTGGGCTGGTCAACTTGGCGAAACCCCGTCTCTACAAAAAATACAAAAATTAGCTGGGTGTGGTGGTGCCTGTCTGTAATCCCAGCTATTCGGGAGTCTGAGGTACGAGAAGTGCTTGAACCTGGGAGGCAGAGGTTGCAGTGAGCTGAGATCACACCAGTGAACTGCAGCCTGGGTGACAGAGTGAGACTCTGTCTCAAAAACAAAAACAAAAACAAAAACAAAAACAACAGAAATAATGATACCAATTAATATGGCACTGTTAAGGGCCCCACAACCCTGTATTGGACTGAACAAAGGGCGAACGTGGGAATAAAGAGAAAGACAAAAGAGTATATTTGGAACAAGGGGTCAGGGGGCTTCTTGCTTCTCGTGAACAAGGGCTCTGATCTTCCACAGCCCTTCGTATTTATTGGTATAGGAGATAGCAAGAAGAGGGGTGGAAGAAGGAGTCAGCTGCTGGGTCCAGAGTAGGCTTGTAAGACTGCATTCCTCAAACAATAGGCTCTAGATGACCCAGTAGATAACTCCAATGAGCACCATGGAGTGAATGCCCTCAGCAAACCTTCTGTTGGCAGGAGCAGTCGTGAGTTTGCCCACATCCTGCATTCATGATAAACAATTTGCTGTTTGATCATATAGCCTCCAATGGAATGTTGAGTTGGTCATGATCCCTTTGCTGGCTCTCTACGTGGCAGAGCAGCAAACACCTCATACCTACTAACACTTTGCAGCATCCAACAACAATAAATAAGTGATGTTATTTTCTGTTTCATAGGTCAGGAAACAGAGGGAAAGTGCTGGTGAGATCCAGGCAGGGAGTTGAATCCTGGCCGCCTGGCTGTAGAGTCTAGGCGCCCTCAGTGGAACCAGTGGACCCAGTAGCTGACATCAGAGGCTGAAATCCCAGCTGTGCTGCATCCCTGTGGTCTCCTGTCCCAACTGGGTGTTGATCCAGGACCTGCAGGCTCACAAGCTCTGGAGAAGAGGGAAACGGGTAAATGCTCCACTGGGTGCAGTGTTGTGTTTATTCCCTAAGGACTTTTCTCTCTTCAGTTGCCCCAAAATCAGATTCACCCTTTCTCTGAGAGAAGATGAGGCCCCCACTTTTTTCTTCCTCCCTCCTTGCTTTTCCCAGCCCCTGTCAGTTCTCTCCCATCACTCCATCAACATCAGCCCCTGTCCTGTGCCCACCACTCACCGTGCAGGGAGTGAAAGGGCCCCAAGACAAAAGGACAAGACCCAAGAGGGAACCCAGTGCCCTCCTCTCAGGCCTGACCAGTCCTGTTACAGTGAGAGGCCTCCCCAAAGAGAGGCCCTGACCCTTGCTCTCAGTCCCCAGGCCCTCCTCTCCTGCAGAGGCACCTGCACACCAGGGCAGGCCCTGCCCACTGTGGGCCCTGCCCTCTATCTGCAGCTCAGCACTCCTCCCCTCCCAGCCCTGAGCAGGCAGCTCCTAACTGGGGACCCCATCAGGAAGCCTGGGGGGCCCAGCAGGCCCAGCATGGAAAGACATGGCTGCCACAGGATCTGCACCTGACATGACCCTGGGACCCCCCACCTTGCTCGAGGAGGCCTGGCCTCCCATGACCTTCAGCACCCACCTAGGCCTGTGACCTGCTGTTGAGTCACTACTGCTCCTGCCTGGTCCACTTACTCCTGGTCCACTTACTTCACCCCAGAGCTGCTGCTTGGTGAGGCTGCGAGGCCTTCCTGCTCTGTCCCTAGCAGGGATTCCACCCAGGCCACTGCCCTTGCAACCTACAAGGACTTTTCTCCACGTGGAGTAGGGGAGACCCCTTAGCCTGAGGCTGCCTCTGCCCACCCTCTGCACCTGGGAACTGCCGCTGCCACAGCCACCATCTCCACACAGACCCTTCTGGAGAGGGGGCTCCAAATTTGAGTTCCTGTTTTATTTAATATGCTTTACAACAGCAGTATTAGAGGAAATCCTATTAAGATTATAGAGCTGAAATTACGAACATCTTTATTGGACATCAACATTGAAAGCAGGAATTTTGATAAACTGGCACATGAATTTCATACCCTTTTCCTGGCCAAAACCCCAGTGACCTACGAGGAAACCATTCCTGCCCACAGGGAACCAGAAGTGACAATCCCTCCACGGGAGACGCCGCAGGTGAGAGCAGGAGTGACCACAGACCTGCACTGCCCCTGCTGTGGGTGCCTCCTGGACAGGGCCCTCTTGCTGCAGGGCAGGGGACGAACCTTCCCATCTGCTCAGGCATGAGGGGCCGACTGACAGTGCAATTAGGTTCAAGGATGAGAAACCAGCGCCCCTACCGCCAGACTCAGGTCTCCTGGACACCCCAGCCTCTCACTGTCCCCTGCACTGCCTCTGTTTTTGCAGAAACACAAAACTTCTGCTGTCTCTTTTCATCCCCCATCAAACAACCTGACTGTGGGGGAAATGCTTCTGACCGTCCCTTACTCCAAACTTACCAGGCAGTGACCACCTTGAGAAAGGGAAATTGGCTCAGGGAGGGCAAGGTAAGGCCACAGAGCACAGAACAAAGCCTCAAAGAGATGGCGCCTGGGGACTGTGTCCCTCAGGGACTGCAGAAGAAAACACGCTGGAGGTAGGATGAAAACAGGGACCACATCTGCCCTGATGAGGGGCTGGGCCCCGCTCCTCAAATGGCCCAGGGACATCTGCTTATCTATTCATCTGTGTCATCTGCAAGGAAACTCAGGGAGGCCAGGTGGTGGGAACCTGGAAAGTGCCTCCTGGAGGAGGCACACGGGTGGGCACCGCCTCTCCTTGGATTCCTCTCCAGTTTCTGGCCCTCCCCAGATCACAGCCACCTTTACTATTTCCTCCCTCTGACACCATGATCATCCAGGCCCTCAGCAATCAGCACGTGATTCCCAACTCACCCCACCTGGACGCACCCTAGTGAGCCCGAGAGACAGAGAGGCTGGGATGGGGACAGAGCAGGTGCCACAGCCCTCCCTGCTGCCCACTCCTCACTTGCAGCAGGAGGAGGCCACAGCTGGATATTCGAAGGCCTTGCCCCAGCCCTGGCTTGAGAAGCACTTATGGGTGTAGATGGAGATGCAGCTCCCATTCCCCTCCCAAATACCCCAGCTTCCATCCCCTGTTCCAGCAGCCTTGTCACCTACGTCTTGTCTGGGCAGGAGCAATGAGGAGACCCTACTGCCTAGAAAGGAGCTTTCCCATCTCCAGAAACTGTCCCCTTTTCTCACCTGGACCCTCTGCCGCTGATGTTTTCTTCTTGCAACAAGGGACACAGAGAATAATAATAATAACAAAACATGGCATAGCAGCAGAAACATATGGAAAGTCTGTCCGTTGACTCTGAAGCACCAGCGCCTTCCCTGAAAAAAAGGGACTTGTTATACACTGGGCAGAGAGCCACAGCCGTCCCTGCTGTTCCTACCCTGGCCTGACCCTCTCCAGGGTCACCCCAGGCTCACCAGAGGGCACAGGGTGAGTGCCGTGATTCCCGCTGTGTTCCATGTAGCAGGTGAACCTCTGCTCCTCTCCTTGGCGAATCCTGGTGGCCACCCAGGTCTGGTAGGTTCCATTCCCATCAGGCAGGACATCCCCCCACTGCTGGGTGTTGTGGCTCAAAGATACCCCATCCTGACGCCAGGTCAGTGTGATATTCCGGGGATAGAAGCTGGAAGCCCTGCATGTCACGGTGATGTTGCCCTCTGAGACCTCGCTGCAGGTGACATTCACCATGGGGGGCACTGGAGAAGAAAGGGCAGAGCCAGTGAAGCCCTGCTCCCCTCTAAGGGAGATGCAGGGAACAGGGCTGCTCCTCTCCACTGTTCTCACTCTGGCTGAATCCCTCACAGATCCCGGACCTTCTGTAAGTCTGTCCTCACCCTGGGGCCTAATTCCTCCAGGCTAGCAGGAGGATGGGCCTTGGGACTGTGGCCTCAGGCTCTGGGATCCCCACATTGATGCTGAGGAGGGGGATGTCAAGGGTGGACTCCTGGGTCATGGGGCCAGGAGGGAACTCTCCGGGATGGGCAGGCCGGGAGGCAGAGGGGGCAGCCCTGGCCCTGAGGGCTTCCTCTCCTGCCTAACTCCCACCCCAGGCTCAGGCTTCTGTCAGAGGGCCCACTGCTTTCCCAGATTACAACACTGGACAGTTCAGTCCCAGACCCACTGTCTTTATCCAATGGCTCTAACAGGAGAGGCAAATCAGGACACAATATGCCAACAGGAAACGCCTGCATCCATAGCACAGGGAGGGTTTCCCCGGACAGAGCTGGGAGGCGAGGCAACTCTAGCAGAATTGCGGGAACAGTAGAGCCCCTGGCCAGGGTCGGTACCTGTTCTCCTGATGGCCACCCCGGATTTCAGATATCGCTGTAGTTTCTGCAGGCAGTCTGCCTGCATAGCGCGATAGTGTGTCTTGGTCTTCATGGCATCTTCCTTCCAGAAATTTGTGACGTTCATAGCCAAGGTCTGAGCTCTGGAGGACTGGGGCACTGTCGATTCTTGAGTCTCCAGGTTTTGGGAGAGGAAGAGCTCCCCATCGTAGTAGAAATGCCGGGAGCCCCTGGTGCTGCTGTCTTCATGGATCTCACAGACCCTAATCTCCTGGAGGGAATGCAAGCCTGCCCCCACCCAGCAGTGACTTCTCCATTCCCGAACCCATCACCTTTCCACCCAAGTGAGGAACTCAGCCCAGCGGCGACCCCTCCCTGGCCCTCCTCCATGCCTCCCTGTGTGGGCTGAGTTCCGGCTCACCACCCTGCTGAGCCTCCCTGACCCTATTCCTCATCCCCACCCCCAGCCAGATCCAGCGGGAAGAGACAGGTCCCTGCTCTCTGTCTCCAACTTTCCTGGAGAAGGCCTCCCATTACTCTTGCCCCTGCCGACTCTCACCTCCTTTCTGGTCCTTGATATGAGTCAGGGTCCTCCTGAGGTCTTGCCCATTCTCTGTCAAGTCCTCGGTCTCTGTGTCCCAGGTCTTAGCTCCCAGGACATCTTCTGCCCACTGTCCCTGGGGCTTTGCCCTGCGTTTCTGCCTGTCATAGCGCAGGAAGGGCTGACCATCCAGATGTCCCTCAGCGAGAAACCCTGACTGCACAGATCCATCCTGGGACAGCACCATGAGGTTGTAACGAAGACTGTGGGGCTCTGGGGAAGAGGAAATCACAGGTGAAACTTCTTCCTGGAAATAACTTCACATTGATGTTTAACACACAGGTCTGCTGTCCCGACCTCCCTGAGGAGGCAGGAAATGCACATGGGCAAAAGGACAAGAACGAAGATTTCATATACAAGGAAAACTGTGAGGGTGGGAGGATAGAGGAGGGGGCTGATGAACAGAAGAAGGGGGAATGAAGATGGCAAACTTGTAGGTCAGGTGCCAGGACTGGGTGGCCACAAGCCCCCTAAGGGAATAGGGGCCAAGGGGAGAGGCTGCCCTGCAGGGGCGAGGGAGGAGCATGAAGGCAGTGTTGGAAGGAAGGTCTTGCCAGAGGGGACGGTGGGAATGGGAAGGGACTCAGGCTCAGAGGGACCCATGTCCAGTGTGGCTGTGGTGCACAGGTGAGGGTGAGATGGAGGCAAGGCGAGCTGCCTCGAGAAAAGACTCATCATGGGCATGGTGGGGACAAGGGAGGGGGTGGTCATGAGGCACAAGGGGTAGGAAGGTTGTAGCCCCAGAGAAGTTTATAGTGGGGTCAGTATCCCAGAGGGGAGCAATGATGTGGGCTTGGGTCCAAAGTGGAAGAGTAGCATGACAAGGCCCCAGGACAGCAATTGGATGGACCAGCTAGTGTCCACTGGGGTGGGCAGGTGACAGGGTCTCAAAGAGTAAGTCCATCTTTTCAGCAAATAGTGCTGGGGGAACTGGATGTTCAAATAATATAAAATTGGACCCTTAATTTGTACTATATACAAAAATTAACTCAAAATGAATCAAAGACCTAAACTCTAAACTCAAGAACTAAAACATAAAAATATCTTAGAAAAAAACATTGGGTATAATGTTCATGACATAGGGTTTGACAGTGCTTTCATGGATATGACGCCAAAGCACAGATAGAATAGAAAGAACTGACAAACTAGACTCATGAAAAATTCAAAATATCTGTGCATCAAAGGGCACAGAGTGAGAAAGCAATCAACCCCTGAAATGAAATAAATATTGCAAGTCATATATCTGATAAGAGATTAGTTTCCAGAAGGCCAGGCGTGGTGGCTCAAGCCTGTAGTTCCAGCACTTTGGGAGGCCGAGGCGGGTGTATCACCAGGTCAGGAGATTGAGACCATCCTGGCTAACATGGTGAAACCCTATCTCTACTAAAAATACAAAAAATTAGCCGGGTGTGGTGGCGGGCGCCTGTAGTCCCAGCTACTCGGGAGGCTGAGGCGGGAGAATGGCATGAAGCTAGCGGGCGGAGCTTGCAGTGAGCTGAGATCGTGCCACTGCACTCCAGCCTGGGCAACAGAGCAAGACTCCATCTCAAAAAAAAAAAAAAAAAAAAAAAAAAAAAAAAAAAAAAAAAAGAGAGAGATTAGTTTCCAGAATATGCAAAAAAGTTTGACAAAAACAACAAAACAGTCAACCCACTCAAAAATGGGCAAAATAGCCATGAGAAGCTATGTGGGGGAGAAAAATGGGCAAGACTTCAATGGCCAATTCTTCAAAGAAAATATACAAATGATCAATAAACACATGAAAAGATGCTCAATATCAGTACTCATTAGGAAAATGCAAATCCAAACCACAACGAGATACCACTTCAAACCAATCAGGGTGGCTATTATCACACACACACACACACACACACACACACACACACAAACAGCAAGTTTGGCAAGGAGGTAGAGAAACTGAAGCCCCTGTATACTGCTTCTAGAAATACAAAATGGCACGCCTGCAATGGAAAACACTATGGTGATTCCTCTAAAAATTAAAAAATGAAATACCGTATGATCCAACAATTCTATTTCTGGATATATACCCAAAAGAAATATTCAAAAGAAATAAATATATACCCAAGAGAAATGAAATATTTGCCAATATCCAAAAGGTAGAAGTAACCCAAGTGTCCATTGTCTGAGGAATGGATAACCAAGATGTGGTACATACATATAATGAGTATTATTCATCATTAAAAGGAATGAAAATCTGACCCATACTACAACCTGGATGAACCTCGAAATATTATAAGTGAAATAAGCCAGAATCAAAAAGACAAACATTACACGATTCTACTTAAATGAGGTACCTAGAGTGGTCAAATTCATAGAAACAAAAAGTAGAATGATGGTTACCAGGGGCCAGAGGTAGGGAGGAATGGGGAGTTACCGATTAATGGGTACAGAGTTTTGGGTTGCACAAAAATGTGAATGTATCTAATGCCACCGAGTATACACTTAAAAGCGGTTAAAACAGTAAAATGTATGTAATGTATAATTTACCACAATTAAACGTTTAAAGAACAAGAAATATCAGTCCTATTCAAATTGTTCTGAAAAACAGAGGAGGAGGGAATACTTCCAAACTCATTTTACAAAGCCAGGAATATCCTGATATCAAAATCAGGCAAAGACACATCAAAAAAAGAAAACTACAGGCCTATATCCCTGATGAACATTGAGGCAAATATCATCAATGAAATACTAGCAAACCACATTCAACAGTATATTAAAAAGATCATTCTTCATGACCAAGTGGAATATATTCCAGGTATGCATACACAAATCAATCAATGTAATACATCGTATCAACAGAATAAAGGACAAAAGCCATATCACCATTTCAATTGATACTGAAAAAGCATTTGATAAGTTTAACATCCCTTCATGATAAAAACTCTAAAAAAACTGAGTATACAAGGAACAGACCTCAATATAATAAAAGCCATATATGACAACTCACAGCTAGTAACATACTGAATGGGGGAAAACTGAAAGCCTTTTCTTTAAGATCTGGAACAAGACAAGGATGACTACTTTCACTACAGTTATGCAACACAATACTGCAAGTCCTAGCTAGAGCAATCTGACAGGAGAAGGAAATAAAGGGCATCAAAATTGGAAAAGAAGAAGTCAAATTATCCTTGTTTGCACATCATGTGGTCTGATATTTGGAAAACCTAAAGACTCCACCAAAAAACTATTAGAACTGAAGAACAAATTCAGTAAAGTTGCAGGATACAAAATCAACATGCAAAAAACAATAGCATTTCTATGTGCTAACAGCAAATAATCTGAAAAAGAAATCAAGAAACGAATCCCATTTTCATTAGCTACAAATAAAATAAAATACCTAGGAATAGACTTAACTGAAGAAGTGAAAGATCTCTCCAATAAAAACTATAAAGCACTGATGCAAAACATTGAAGAGGACACAAAAAATGGAAAAGGCATTCCATGTTCATGGACTGGAAGAATCAATGTTTATTTTTATTTTCTGAGATGGAGTTTTGCTCCTGTTGCCCAGGCTGGAGTGCAATGGTGCAATCTCAGCTCACCACAACCTCTGCCTCCTGGGTTCAAGCGATTCTCCTGCCTCAGCTTTCCTGAGTAGCTGGGATTACAGGCATATGCCACCACGCCTGGCTAATTTTGTATTTTTAGTAGAGGCGGGGTTTCCCCATGTTGATCAGGCTGGTCTTGAACTCCTGATCTCAAGTGATCCACCTGACTCGGCCTCCCAAAGTGCTGGGATTACAGGAGTGAGCCACCGTGCCCAGCCGGAAGAATCAATTTTGTTAAAATATCCATCCTACCCAAAGCAATCTACAAATTCAATGCAATTGCTATCAAAACACCAATGACATTCTTCACAGAAATAGAAAAACAATCCTAAAATGTATATGGAATCACAAAAAACCCAGAATAGATAAAGCTACCCTGAGCAAAAAGAACAAAACTAGAGGAATCACATTATCTGACTTCAAATTATACTACAGAGCTAGAGTAATCAAAACAGCATGGTAGTGGCATAAAAACAGACACACGGACCAATGAAACAGAATAGAGAACCCAGAAACAAATCCATATATCTACAGTGAAGTTATTTCTAACAAAGTTAGCAAGAACACATACAGGGCAAAGGAGAGTCTCTTCAATAAATGGTGCTGGGGAAACTAGATATCCTTATGCAGAAGAATGAAACTGGACCCTATCTCTCACCACATATAAAAATCCAATCAAAAAGGATTAAAGATGTAAATCTATGACCTCAAACTATGAAAACTATGAAAGAAAACATTGGGGAAACTCTCTAAGATATTGGACTGGCAAAGATTTTTTAAGTAATACCCCACAAGCACAGGCAACCAAAGTAAAAATGCACAAATGGGATCATATCAAGTTAAAAAGCTTCTGCACAGCAAAGGAAACAATAAACAAAGTGAAGAGACCATCCAAGAATGGGAGAAAATATTTTCAAACTATTCATCTGACAAAGGATTAGTAACCAAAACATATAAGGATCTCAAACAACTCTATAGGAAAAATATCTAATAATCCAACTTAAAAATGAGCAAAAGATCTGAATAGTCATTTCTCAAAAGAAGACATACAAATGGCAAACAGGTATATCAAAAGGTGCTCAACATCATTCGTCATCAGATGAAGGCAAATCAAAACTCCTACGAGATATCATCCCACCCCAGATAAACTGGCTTTTATCCAGAAGACAGGCAATAAGGAATCCTGGTGAGGATGTAGCAAAAGAGAACCCTTGTACACTGTTGGTGGGAACGTAAACTAGTATAACCACTGTGGGAAATAATGTGGAGGTTCTTCCAAAAACTAAAAATATAATAGAGCTGTCATATGCTCCAGCACTCCCACTGTTAGGCATATACCCAAAAGAAAGGAAATCGGTATATTAAAGAGCTATCTACTTTTCCATGTTTATTGCAGCACTATTCAAAATAGCCAAGATCTGCAAGCGACCTAAGTGTCCATCAACAGACGAATGGAGAAAGAAAATGTGGTGCACACGTGTATGTGGAGTACTATTCAGCCATCATGTCATTTGCAAAGAACTGGAGGTCATCATGTGAAGTGAAATAAGCCCCAGGCCCAGAGAGACAAACTTCGCATGTTCTCACTTATTTGTGGCAGCCAAAAATTAAAACAATGGACCTCATGGGGAGAGACAATAGAATGACGAATACCAGAGGCTGAGAAGGGTAGTGGGGAGTGGGGGAGTGCGGATGGTTAATGGGTACAAAAATATAGTTAGAATGAATAAGATCTAGTAGATAGCACAGCAGGGTGAGTACAGCCAACAATAATTTATTGTACATTTAAAAATAACTGAAAGAGCATAATGGGATTGTTTGTAGCACAAAGAAAGGATAAATGCTTGTTGTGATAGATAACCCATTTACCCTGATGTGATTATGACATATTGTAGGCCTGTGTGAAAATATCCCATGTACCCCATAAATATATACATACATATCTACTATGTACCCAAACAAAAGTTAAAAATTAAAAACAAAGCAAGGGGTGGGGGTGCTGGCC